>NC_000006.12:61393946-61398161 GCF_000001405.40 Homo sapiens | reverse complement strand
CTCTTTCAAAAGGAAGGTTAAACTCTGTGAGTTGAGTGCAGACATCACAAAGAAGTTTCTGAGAATGCTTCTGTCTAGTTTTTATGTGAAGACATTTCCCTTTCTACCATAGGCCTCCAAGCCCTCTAAATACACACTTGCAAATTCTACAAAGAGTGTTTCAAAAATGCTCTATCAAAAGGAAGGTTCAATTCTGTGAGTTGAGTGCAGACATCACCAAGAAGTTTCTGAGAATACTTCTGTCTAGTTTTACATGAAGAAATCCCTTTCCCAAAGAAGGCCTCAAAGAGGTCAAAATATCCACTTGCAGATTCTACAAAAAGAGTGTTTCAAAACTTCTCTAACCAGAGGTGTGTTCAACAGTGTGAGTTCAATGTGCACATCGCAGTGAAGTTTCTGGGAATTCTTCTGTCTAGTTTTATATGAAGAAAATCCCGTTTGCAAAGTAGACCTCAAAGAGGTCCAAATATCCACTTGCAGAATCAACAAAAAGAGTGTTTAAAAACTGCTCTATCAATAAAAATGTTCACCTTCATGAGTTGAGTGCAAACATCACAAAGTAGTTTCTGAGAATGCTTCTGTCTAGTTTTTATGTGAAGATATTTCCTTTTCTATCATAGGCCTCAAAGCGCTCTATATATCCACCTGCAGATTCTACAAAAACAGTGTTTCCAAACTTCTCTATTAAAACGAATGTTCAACCCTGTGAGTTGAATGCAAACATCAGAAAGAAGTTTCTGAGAATGCTTCTGCCTAGTTTTTATGTGAAGATATTTCCTTTTCTACCATAAGACTCAAAGCACTAAATATACATTTGCAAATTCTACAACAAGAGTGTTTCAAAACTGCACTATCAAAAGAAAGGTTAATCTCTGTGAGTTGAATGCACACATCACAAAATAGTTTCTGAGAATGGTTCTGTCTAGTTTTTCTATGAAGATATATCCTTTTCTACCATACGCATCAAAGCGCTATAAATATACCCTTGGAAATTCTACAAAAAGAGTGTTTCAAAACTGCTATATTGAAAAGAATTTTCAGCTCTGTGAGTTGAATGCACAACACAAAGAAGTTTCTCAGAATTCTTCTGACTAGTTTTATGTAAAGAAATTCCCGTTCCAAAGAAGGCCTCAAAGAGGTCCAAATATCCACTTGCAGATTCTACTAAAAGAGTGTTTCAAAACTGTTCTACCAAGAGGAATGTTGAACTCTGTGGGTTGAATGCAAACATCACAAAGTAGTTTCTGAGAACGCTTCTGTCTAGTTTTTTTATTAACATACTTCCTTTTCCACCATAGGCCCATAAGAGATTTAAATATCCACTTGCAAATTCTACAAAAAGAGTGCTTCAAAACTGCTCTATCAAAAGAAAGGTTAAACTCTGTGAGATGAGTGCAGACATCACAATGAAGTTTCTGAGAATACTTCTGTATTCTTTTTATGTAAAGATACTACCGTTTCTGAAGAAGGTCTCAAAGAACTCCAAATATCCACTTACAGACTTTACAAACAGAGTTTTTCAAAACTGCTCTATCAAAAGAAAGTTTAAACTCTGTGAGTTGAACACACACATCACTAAGTAGTTTCTGAGAATGACTCTGTCTAGTTTTTATATGAAGACATTTCCTTTTCTAACACAGACCTCCAAGCGCTCTAAATATTCACTTGGAAATTCTACAAAAAGTGTGTTTCAAAACTGCTCTATCGAAGGGTAGGTTCAACTCTGTGAGTGGAATGCGGACATGAAAAAGAAGTTTCTGAGAATTCTGTCTAGTTTATATGAAGAAATCCCATCTCCAACGAAGGCCTCAAAGAGGTCCAAATATCAACTTGCAGATTCCACAAAAAGAGTGTTTCAAAACTGCTCTATCAATCAAGAGGTATGCTCAACTCTGTGAGTTGAATGCAAACAACACGAAGTAGTTTCTGAGAATGTGTCCGTCTAGTTTTTTGTGAAGATATTTCCTTTTCTACCATAGGCCTGAAAGCATTCTAAATATGCAATTGCAAATTCTACAAAAAGAGTGTTTAAAAACTGCTCTATCAAAAGAAAAGTTAAACTCTGTGAGTTGCACGCACACATCACATAGCAGTTTCTGAGAATGATTCTGTCTAGTTTTTATATGAAGATATTTCCTTTTCAAATATATGCCACAAAGCCCTCTAAACATATGCTTGCAAATTCTACAAAAAGGTCGATTCAAAACTGCTCTATCAGAAGTAAGGTTAAACTCTGTGAATTGAATGCACACATCAAAAAGTAGTTTCTGAGAATGGTTCTGTCTAGTTTTTCTATGAAGAAATTTCCTTTTCAACCAGAGGCCTCCAAGTGCTCTAAATATTCACTTGGAAATTCTACAAAAAGAGTTTTTCAAAACTGCTCCATCAAAAGGGAGGTTCAACTCCGTGAGTTGAATGCACACATCCCAAAGAAGTTTCTGAGAATTCTTCTGTCTAGTTTTATATGAAGAAATCCTGTTTCCAACGGGGGCCTGAAAAAGGTCAAAATATCCACTTGCAGATTCTACAAAAAGAGTGTCTCAAAACTGCTCTATCAAGAGGAATGTTCAAATCTGTGAGTTGAATGCAAACATCACAAAGTAGTTTCTGAGAATACCTCTGTCTAGTATTTATGTGAAGATATTCTCTTTTCTACCATAGGCCTCAAAGCCCTCTAAATACACACTTGCAATTTTAACAAAAAGAGTGTTTCAAAACTGCTCTATCAAAAGAATGGTAAAACTCTGTGAGTTGAACCCACACATCACAAAGCAGTTTCTGAGAATGCTTCTGTGTAGTTTTTCTATGAACATATTTCCTTTTCCACCATTGGCCGCAAAGCGCTCTAAATATCCTCTTGTAATTTCTACAAAAAGAAGGTTTCAAAACTGCTCTATCAAAAGGAAGGTTCAACTCTGTGAGTTGAGTGCAGACATCACCAAGAAGTTTCTGAGAATACTTCTGTCTACATTTTATGTGGACATACTCCCGTTTCCTAAGAAGGCCTCAGAACACTCCAAATATCTAGTTACAGACGTTGAAAACAGAGTGTTTCAAAACTGCTCTATCAAAAGAAATGTTAAAATCTGTGAGTTGAATGCACACTTCACAAATAAATTTCTGAGAATGATTCTGTCTAATTATTATATGAGGATATTTTCTTTTCAACCATAGGCCTCAAAGCTCTCTAAATATCCACTTGCAAATTCTACAAAAAGAGTGTTTCAAAACTGCTCTATCAAAAGGAAGTTTCAACTATGTGAGTTGAGTGCAGACATCACAAAGAAGTTTCTGACAATACTTCTGTGTACTTTTTATGTGAAGATATTCCCGTTTCCAAGGAAGTCCTCAAAGCGCTCCAAATATCCACTTGCAGACATTACAAACAGAGTGTTTCAAAACTGCTCTAACAAAAGAAAGGTTAAACTCTTTGAGTTCAACACACATATCACAAAGTAGTTTCTGAGAATGATTATGTCTAGTTTTTATATGAAGATATTTCCTTTTCTACCATAGGCTTGAAAGTGCTCTATGTATCCATTTGGAAATTGTACAAAAACAGTGTTTCAAAACTACTCTATCAAAAGAAAGGTTCAACTCTGTGAGTTGAATGCACACATCACAAAAAGTTTCTGAGAATTCTTCTGTCTAATTTTTATGTGAAGGAAGTCCTATTTCCAAAGAAGACCTCACACAGGTCCAAATATCCAATTGCGGGTCCTACAAAAAGAGTGTTTCAAAACTTCTCTATCTAAAGGAATGTTGAACTCTAGGAGTTGAATGCAAACATCACAGAACAGTTTCTGAGAATGCTTCTGTCTAGTTTTTATGTGAAGATTTTCCTTTTCTACCACAGGCCTCCAAGCCCTCTAAATATACACTTGCAAATTCGACAAAAAGAGTGTTTCAAAACCACTCTATCAAAATAAAGGTTAAACTCTGTACGTTGAACGCACACATCACAAAGTAGTTTCTGAGAATGATTCTCTCTAGTTATTCTATGAAGATATTTCCTTTTCTACCATAGTCCTCCAAGTGCTCTAAATATCCACTTGGAAATTATACAAAAGAGTGTTTCAAAACTGCTCTATCGAAAGGAACGTTCAACTCCGTGAGTTGGATGCAAACATCACAAAGTAGTTTCTGAGAATGCTTCTGTCTAGTTTTTATGTGAAGATATTTCCTTTTCTATCATAGGCTTCAAAGCGCTCTAAG
>NC_000006.12:61381602-61393846 GCF_000001405.40 Homo sapiens | reverse complement strand
CAAACATCACAAAGTAGTTTCTGAGAATGCTTCTGTCTAGTTTTTATGTGAAGATATTTCCTTTTCTATCATAGGCTTCAAAGCGCTCTAAGTATAAACTTGCTGATTCTACAAAAAGAGAGTTTCAAAACTACTCTATCAAAAGAAAATTTAAACTCTGTGAGTTGAACGCAGACATCACAAAGTAGTTTCTGAGAATGATTCTGTCTAGTTTTTCTATGAACATATTTCCTTTTCCACTATAGTCCCAAAGCGCTCTAAATATACACTTGCAAATTCTACAAAAAGAGTGTTTCAAAACCACTCTATCAAAATAAAGGTTAAACTCTGTGAGTTGAACGCACACATCAAAAGTAGTTTCTGGGAACGATTCTGTCTAGTTTTGCTATGAAGATATTTCCTTTTCTACCATAGGCCTCAAAGCGCTCTAAATATCCACTTTGGAAATCCAAAAAAGAGCGTTTCATAACAGCTCTATCAAAAGGAACGTTCAACTCTCTGTGTTGAATGCACACATCACAAATAAGTTTTTGAGAATACTTCTGTCTAGTTTTTATATGAAGAAATTCTGGTTTCCAATGAAATCCTCAAAGAGGTTGAGATATCGCCTAGCAGATTCTTCAAAAAGAGTGTTACAAAACTGCTCTATCAAAAGGAATGTTCAACTCTGTGAGTTGAATGCAAACATCACAAAGCAGTGTCTCAAAATGCTTCTGTGTAGTTTTTATATGAAAAATATTTAGAGCGTCTGGGGCCTTTTCTACCATAGGCCCAAAACGCTCTAAATATACACTTACAAATTCTACAAAAAGAGTGTTTCAAAACTGCTCTACCAAAAGAAATGTTAAACTCTGTGAGTTGAACGCACACATCACAAAATTGTTTCTGAGAATGCTTCTGTGTAGTTTTTCTATGAACATATTTCATTTCCCACCATAGGCCCCAAAGCGCTCTAAATATCCACTTGCAAATTCTACAAAAAGAGTGTTTCAAAACTGCTCTATCAAAAGGAAGGTTCAACTCTATGAGTTGAGTGCAGACATCACGAAGTTTCTGAGAATATTTCTGTCTACTTTTTATGTAAAGATATTCCCTTTTCCAAAGAAGGCCTCAAAGCACTACAAATATCTACTTGCAGATATTACAAACAGAGTGTTTCAAAACTGCTCTACCAAATGAAAGGTTAAACTCTGTGAGTTGAACGCACTCATCACAAAGTAGTTTCTGAGAATGATTCTGTCTACTATTAATATGAGGATATTTCCTTTTCTACCATAGGCTTCAAAGAGCTCTAGTTATCCACTTGGAGATTCTACAAAAACTGTGTTTCAAAACTGCTCTATCAACAGGAAATTTCAACTCTCTGAGTTAAATGTACATATTACAAAAAGTTTCTGAGAAAAGTTCTTCTGTTAAGTTTTTATGTGAAGAAATTCACGTTTCCAACGAAGGACTCAAAGAGGTGCAAATATCCACTTGCATATTCTACAAAAAGACTGTTTCAAAACTGCTCTATCAAAAGAAATGTTGAACTCTGTGAGATAAATGCAAACATCACAAAGTAGTTTCTGATAATGTTTCTGTCTAGTTTTTTTATGAGCATATATTCTTTTCCACCATAGGTCTCAAAGCACTCCAAATATCCACTTGCAGACTTAATAAACAGTGTTTCAAAACTGCTCTATCAAAAGAAAGGTTAAACTCTGTGAGTTGAACGCACACATCACAAAGTAGTTTCTGAGAATTCTTCTGTCTTGTTTATATGAAGAATTTCCATTTCCTACAAAGGCCTCAAAGAGGCCCAAATATGCACTTGCAGATTCTACTAAAAGACGGTTTCAAAAACTGCTCAATCAAAAGGAATGTTAAACTCTGTGTTGAATGCAAACATCACAAATTAGTTTCTGAGAATGCTTCTGTCTAGCTTTTACATAAAGATACTTCCTTTTCGACCATCTGTCTCAAAGCCCTCTAAATGCACAATTGCAAATTCTACAAAAAGAAGATTTCAAAATTGCTCTATCAAAAGAAAGGTTAAATTGTGTGAGTTGAATGCACACATCACAGTGTAGCTTCTGAGAATGATTCTGTCTAGTTTTTCTATGAAGATATTTCCTTTTCTACCGCAGGCCTCCAAGCGCCCTAAATATTCAGTTGGAAAGTATATAAAAAGTGTGTTTCACAACTGCTCTATCTAAAGGAAGGTTCAACTCTGTGAGTTCAATGCACACATCACAAAGAAGTTTCTGAGAATTCTTCTGTCTAGTTTTATATGAATTAATCCCGTTTGCAACGTAGGCCTCAAAGAGGTCCAAATATCCTCTTGCAGATTCTACAAAAAGAGTGTTTCAAAACTGCTCTATCAAGAGGAATGTTCAACTCCGTGAGTTGAATGCAAACATCACAAAGTAGTTTCTGACAATGCTTCTGTCTAGTTATTTAGTGAACATATTTCATTTTCTACCATAGGCCTCAAAGCGCTCTAAATATACACTTGCAAATCCTACAAAAAGAGTGTTCCATAACGGCTCTACCGAAAGAAAGGTTCAACTCTGTGAGTGAGTGCAGACATCTTAAAGAAGTTTCTGCGAATACTTCTGTCTACTTTTTATGTGAAGATACTCCCCTTTCCAAAGAAGGGCTCTAAGCGCTCTAAATATCTACTTCCAGACTTTAAAATCAGAGTGTTTCCAAACTGCTCTCTCAAAAGAAAGGTTAAATTCTGTGAGTTGAACTCATACATCACAAAGTAGTTTCTGAGAATTCTTCTGTCTTGTTTTATATGAAGCAATCCCGTTTCCAACGAAGGCCTCAAAGCGCTCCAAATATCCATTTGCAGATCCTACAAAAAGAGTGTTTCAAAACTGCTCTACCAAGAGGAATGTTGAACTCTGTGAGTTGAATGCAAACATCACAAAGAAGTTTCTGAGAATGCTTCCGTCTAGTTTTTACATGAAGATATTTCCTTTTCTACCATAGGCCTCAAAGCACTCTAAATATACACTTGCAAATTCTACGAAAAGAGTGTTTCTAAACTGTTCTATCAAAAGAAATTTAAATTCTGTGAGTTGAACGCACACATCACAAAGTAGTTTCTGAGAATGCTTCCGTCTAATTTTTACATGAAGATATTTCCGTTTCTACCATAGGCCTCAAAGCACTCTAAATATACACTTGCAAATTCTACAAAAAGAGTGTTTCAAAACTGTTCTATCAAAAAAATTTAAATTCTGTGAGTTGAACGCACACATCACAAAGCAGTTTCTGAGAATGATTCTGTCTAGTTTTTCTATGAAGATATTTTCTTTTCTACAACAGACCTCAAAAAGCTCAAAATATCCACTGAGAAATTCTACAAAAAGAGTGTTTCAAAACTGCTCTATCAAAAGGAACGTTCAAATCTCTGAGTTCAATGCAAACATCACATAGAAATTTCAGAAAATTCTTCTGTCTAGTTTTTATATGAAGAAACTCCCTTTTCCAACGAAGGCCTCAAAGAGGTCCATATATACACTTACAGATTCTATAAAAAGAGTGTTTCAAAACTGCTTTATCAAGAGGAATGTTCAACTCTGTGAGTTGAATGCAAACATAACAAAGTAGGTTCTGAGAACGCTTCTGTCTAGTTGTTATGACAGGATATATCCTTTTCTACCATAGGCCTCAAAGCACTCTAAATACACAGTTGCAAATATGACCAAAAGAGTGTTCCAAAGCTGCTCTATCAAAAGAAAGGTTACACTCTGTGAGTTGAACGCACACATCACAAGATAATTTCTGAGAATGATTCTGTCATTTTTCTATGAAGATATTACCTTTTATAACATTTGCCTCAAAGCGCTCTAAATATCCACTTGTAAATTCTAGAAAAATAGTGTTAGAAAACTGCTCTATCCAAAGGAAGTTTCAACTCCGTGAGTTGAATGCACACATCACAAAGAAGTTTCTGAGAATTCTTCTGTTTTGTTTTAGCTGAAGAAATTCCCGTTTCCAACGAAGGCCTCAAAGAGGTCCATATATCCACTTACAGATTCTCTAAAAAGAGTGTTTCAAAACTGATCTATCAAGAGGAATGTTCATTTCTGTGAGCTGAATGCAAACATCACTAAGTAGGTTCTGAGAATGTTTCTGTCTAGTTGTTTGACAAGATACTTCCTTTTCTACCATAGGCCTCAAAGCCCTCCAAATATACACTTGGAAATTCTACAAAAAGAGTGTTTCAAAACTGCTCTATCAAAAAGAAGGTTAAACCATATGAGTTGAAGGCACACGTCACAGAGTAGTTTCTGAGACTGATTCTGCCTCGTTTTTATATGAAGATATTTACTTTTCTAACATAGGCCTCCAAGCGCTCTAAATATTCAATTGGAAATTCTACAAAAAGAGTGTTTCAAAACTGCTCTATGAAAAGGAAGTTTTAACTCTGTGAATTGAATGCACACATCACAAAACGTTTCTGAGAATTCTTCGGTCTAGTTTTTATGTGTAGAAATTCGTTTCCAACGAAGGCCTCAAAGAGGTGCAAATATCCACTTGCAGATTCTACAAAAGAGTGTTTCAACACTGCTCCATCAAAAGGAATGTTAAACTCTGTGAGTTGAATGCAAACATCTCAAAGTAGCTTCTGATAATGCTTCACTCTAGTTTTTATGTGAACATATTTCCTTTTCTACCATAGGCCGCAAAGCCCTCTAAATACACACTGGCGAATTCTACAAAAAAAGCATTTCAAAACTGCTGTACAGAAGAAAGGTCAAACTCTGTGAGTTTAATGCACACATCACAAAGTAGTTTCTGAGAATGATTCTGTCCAGTTTTTCTAGAAGATATTTCCTTTTCTACGGTAGGCCTCCAAGTGATCTAAATATTCACTTGGAAATACTACAAAAAGAGTGTTTCAAAACTGCCCTATCGGAAGTAGGTTCAACACTGTGAGTTGAATGCACACGTCACAAAGAAGTTTCTGAGAATTCTTCTGTCTAGTTTTATATGAAGAAATCACGTTTCCAACGAAGGCCTGAAAGAGGTTCAAATATTCACTTGCAAATTCTGCAAAAAGAGTGTTTCAGAACTGCTCTATCAAGAGCAATATTCAACTCTGTGAGTTGAATGCAAACATCACAAAGTAGGTTCTGAGAATGCTTCCGTCTAGTTTTTGTATGAAAATATTCCCTTTTCTACTGTAGGCCTCAAAGCGCTCTATATATACACTTGCAAATTCTACAGAAAGAGTGTTTCAAAACTAGTCTATCAAAAGGAAGGTTAACCACGTGAGTTAAACGCACACATCACAGAGTACTTTCTGAGAATGATTCTGCCTTGTTTTTATATGAAGATACTTACATTTCTATCATAGGCCTCCAAGTGCTCTTAATATTCTCTTGGAAATTCTACAAAAAGAGTGTTTCAAAACTGCTCTATCAAAAGAAAGGTTAAACTCTGAAAGTGAAACGAACACATCACCATGAAGTTTCTGTTAATGCTTCTGTCTAGTTTTATAAGAAGAAATCCCCTTTCCAACGAAGGCCTCAAAGAGTTCCAAATATGCACTTGCAGCTTCTACAAAAAGAGTGTTTCAAAACTGCTCTATCAAAGGAAAGTTTAAACTCTGTGAGCTGAACGCACACATCACAAAGTAGTTTCTGAGAATGATTCTGTCTAGTTTTTATATGAAGATATTTCCTTTTCTAACATAGGTCTCAAAGTGCTCTAAATATCCACTTCAAATTCTACAAAAAGAGTTTTTCAAAACTGCTCTGTCAAAAGGAATGTTCAACTCTGTGAGTTGAGTGCAGACATCACAAAGAAGTTTCTGAGAATACTTCTGCCTACTTTTTATGTGAAGATATTCCTGTTTCCAAAGAAGGCCTCAAAGCGTTCCAAATATTCACTTGCAGACATTACAAACAGAGTGTTTCGACACTGCTCTATCAAAAGAAAGGTTAAACTCTGTGAGTTGAACGCACACATCACAGAGTAGTTTCTGAGAATGATTCTGTCTAGATTTTATATGAAGATATTTCTACCATAGGCTTCAAAGCGCTCTAAATATTCACTTGGAAATTCTAAAAAAAAGAGTGTTTCAAAACTGCTCTATCGAAAGGGAGATTCAACTCTCTGAGTTGAATGCACACATCACAAAGAAATTTCTGAGAAATCTTTTGTCTAGATTTATATGAAAAAATCCCGTTCCTAATGAAGGCCTCAAAGAGGTCTAAATATCCAGTTGTAGATTCTTCAAAAAGATTGTTTCAAAACTGCTCTCTCAATAGGAATGTTCAACTCTGTGAGTTGAATGCAAACATTACAAAGTAGTTTCTGAGAATTCTTCCATCTTGTTTATATATGAAGATATTTCCTTTTATACCATAGGCTTCCAAGAACTCTAAATATACACTTGCAAACTCTACAAAAAGAGTGTTTCAAAACTGCTCTATAAAAGAAAGGTTAAACTCTGTGAGTTGAATGCACACATCACAAAATAATTTCTGAGAATGATTCTGTGTAGTTTTTCTATGAACTTATTTCCTTTTCTACCATAGGCCTCCAAGCGCTCTAAATATCCACTTGGAAATTCTGCAAAAAGAGAGTATCAAACTACTCTATCGAAAGGAAGTTTCAACTCTGTGAATTGAATGCACACAACACAAAGAAGTTTCTGAGAATTCTTCTGTCTAGATTTATATGAAGAAATGCCCGTTTCCAACTAAGGCCTCAAAGACATCAATATATCCAGTTGCAGATACTTCAAAAAGAGTGTTTCAAAACTCCTCTATCAATAGGAATTTTCAATTCTGTGAGTTGAATGCAAACGTCACAATGTAGTTTTTGAGAATGCTTCTGTCTAGTTTTTATGTGAAGATATTTCCTTTTCTACCATAGGCCTCAAAGCGCTCTAAATATAACCTTGCAAATACTACATAAAGTGTGTTTCAAAACTGCTCTATCAAAAGAAAGCTTAAACTCTGTGAGTTGAACGCACACTTCACAAAATAGTTTCTGAGAATGATTCTGTGTAGTTTTTATATGAAGATATTACTTTTTCAACCGTAGGCTTCCAAGCGCTCTAAATATTCACTTGGAAATTCTACCAAAAGAGTGTTTTGAAACTGCTGTATCGAAATGCAGGTTCAATTCTGTGAGTTGAAAGCACACAGCACAAAGAAGTTTCTGAGAATTCTTCTGTCTACTTTTATATGAAGAAATCCCGTTTTCAATGAAGTCCTCAAAAAGATCAAAATATCCACTTGCAGATTACACAAAAAGAGTGTTTCAGAACTTCTCTATCTGGAGAAATATTCAACTCTGTGAGGTGAATGCAAACATCAAAAAGTAGTTCCTGAGAATGCTTCTGTCTAATTTTTATATGAAGATATTTCCTTTTCTACAGTAGTCCTCAAAGCACTCTAAATATACACATGCCAATTCTACAAAAAGAGTGTTAAAAGACTGTGCTATCAAAAGAAAGGTTAAGCTCTGTGAGTTGAAGGCACACATCACAAAGTAGTTTCTGAGCATGATTCTGTCTCGTTTTTATATGAAGATATATTCTTTTATAGCTTAGGTCTCAAAGCACTCTAAATACCCACTTGGAAATTCTACGAAAAGAATGTTTCAAAACGGCTCTATCGAAAGAAACGTTCAGCTCTCTGAGTTGAATGCACACATCACAAAGAATTTTCTGAGAATTTTTCTGTATAGTTTTTATATGAAGAAATTCACGTTTCCAAGGAAGGTCTCAAAGAGGTCCAAATATACACTTGCAGATTCTACAAAAAGAGTGTTACAAAACTGCTCTATCAAAAGGAATGTTCAACTATGTGAGTTGAATGCAAACATCAGAAAGTATTTTCTCAGAATGATTCTGCGTAGTTTTTCTATGAAGATATTTCCTTTTCTACCATAGGCCCAGAAGCGCTGTAAATATCCACTTGCAAATTCTACAAAAAGAGTGTTTCAAATCTGCTCTATCAAAAGGAAGGTTAAATTCTGTGAGTTGAGTGCAGACATCACAAAGAAGTTTCTCAGAATTCTTCTGTCTACTTTTTATGTGAAGATACTTCCGCTTCCAAAGAAGGCCTCAAAGCACACCAAATATCCACTTTCAGACTTTACAAGCAGAGTGTTTCAAAACTGCTCTATTAAAAGAAAGGTTAAACTCTGTGAGTTGGACGCACACATCACAAGGCAGTTTCAGAGAATGATTCTGTCTAGTTTTTCTGTGAAGATATTTCCTTTTCTACCATAGGCTTCAAAGTGCCCTAAATATCCTTTTGGAAATTCTACACAAAGAGTGTTCCAAAACTGCTCTATCAAAAGGAAGGTTCAAACTGCGAGTTGAATGCACACATCACAAAAAGTTTCTGAGGATTCTTCCGTCTAGTTTTTATGTGAAGAAATTCCCGTTTCCAAGGATGGCCTCAAAGTGGTCCAAATATCCACTTGCAGATTATTCAAAAAGAGTGTTTCAAAGCTGCTTTATCAACAGGAATGTTCAAATCTGGGAGTTCAATGGAAACATCACAAAGTAGTTTCTGAGAATGCTTCCATCTAGTTTTTATATGAAGATATTTCGTTTTCTACCATAGGCCTCCAAGCACTCTAAATATACAACAGCAAACTATAGAAAAAGAGTGTTTCAAAACTGCTCTATCAAAAGAAAGGTTAAACTGTGAGTTGAAGACACACATCACAAAGTAGTTTCTGAGAATGATTCCGTGTAGTTTTTCTATGAAGATATTTCCTTTTCTACCATAGGCCTCCAAGTGCTCTAGTTATCCACTTGGAAATTCTACAAAAAGAGTGTATCAAAACTGCTCTATCGAAAGGAAGAGTCAACTCTGTGAGTTGAATGCACACATCACAAAGAAGTTTCTGAGATTCTTCTTTCTAGTTTTATATGAAGAAATCCCATTTCCAGCGAAGTCCTCAAAGAGGTCCAAGTATCCAATTGAAGATTCTACAAAAAGAGTGTTTCAAAACAGTTCTATCAAGAGGAATGTTCAACTCTGTGAGTTGAAAGCAAACATCAAAAACTAGTTTCTGAGAATGCTTCTGTATAGTTTTTATGTGAAGATATTTCCTTTTCTACCATAGGCCTCAAAGCGCTCTAAATATAATATTGCAAATTCTAGAAAAAGAGTGTTTCAAAACTGTTCTAAGAAATGTTAAACTCTGTGAGTTGAACGCACACATCACAAAGCAGTTTCTGGGAATGATTCTGTCTATTTTTTCTATGAAGATATTTCCTTTTCTACCAAAGGATTCAAACCGCTCTAAAAATCCACTTTGAAATCCCACATAAAGATTTTTTCAAAACTGCTCTATCAAAAGGAAGGTTCAACTCTGTGAGTTGAATGCACACATCAGAAAAAGTTTCTGATAATTCTTCTGTCTAGTTTTTATGTGAAGAAATTCCCGTTTCCAACGAAGGCCTCTAAGAGATCCAAATATCCACTTGCAGATTATACAAAAATAGTGTTTCAAAACTGCTCTATCAAAAGGAATGTTGAACTCTGTGAGTTGAATGCAAACATCACAAAGTAGTATCTGAGAATGCGTCTGTCTAGTTTTTATGTGAAGATACTTCCTTTTCTACCATAGGCGTCAAAGCCGCCTAATTACACTCTTGCAAATTCCACAAAAACAGCGTTTCAAAACTGCTCTATCAAAAGAGAGTTTAAACTATGTGAGTTGAACGCACACATCACAAAGTAGTTCCTGAGAATGATTCTGTATAGTTTTTATATGAAGATATTTCCTTTTCTACCATAGGACTCAAAGCGCTCTAAATATCCACTTGGAAATTCTACAAAAAGGGTGTTTCAAATCTGCTCTATCAAAAGGAAATTTCAACTCTGTGAGTTGAGTGCAGACATCACAAAGTAGTTCCTGAGAATACTTCTGTCTACTTTTATGTGAAGATACTCCCTTTTCCAAAGAAGGCCCCAAAGCGCTCCAAATATACACTTGAAGACTTTACAAAAAGAGAGTTTCAAACCTGCTCTATCTAAAGAATGGTTAATCTCTGTGAGTAAAATGCACACATCACAAAGTACTTTCTGTGAATGACTCTGTGTAGTTTTCCTATGAAGATGTTTCCTTTTCTACCATAGCCCTCAAAGGGCTCTAAATACATACTTGCTAATTCTACAAAAAGAGTGTTTCAAAACTGCTCAATCAAAAGAAAGGTTAAACTCTGTGACTTGAACGCACACATCACAAAGTAGTTTCTGATAATGATTCTGTCTAGTTTTTCTACGAAGATATTTCCTTTTCTGCCATAGGCCTCAAAGTGCTCTAAATATCCACTTGGAAATTCAACGAATTGAGTGTTTCAAAACGGCCCTATCGAAAGGAATGTTCCACTCTGTGAGTTGAATGCACATATCACAAAGAAGTTTCTGAGAATTCTTCTGTCTAGTTTTTATATGAAGAAATTCCCGTTTCCAACGAATGCCTCAAAGAGGTCCAAATATACACTGGCAGATTCTGCAAAAAGAGAGTTACAAAACTTCCCTATCAAAAAGAATGTTCAACTCTGTGAGTTGAATACAAACATTAAAAAGAAGTTTTTCAGAATGCTTCTGTATAGTTTTGCTACGAAGATATTTCCTTTTCTACCACAGGCCCCAAAGCGCTCTAATTATCCACTTGCATATTCTACAAAAAGAGTATTTCAAAACTGCTTTATCAAAAGGAAGGTTCAACTCTGTGAGTTGAGTGCAGACATCACAGTGAAGTTTCTCAGAATACTTCTGTCTACTTTTTATGTGAAGATACTCCCGTTTCAAAAGAAGGCCTCAAAAAGCTCCAAATATCCACTTGCAGACTTTACAAACAGAGTGTTTCAAAACTACTCTATCAAAAGAAAGGTTAAACTCTGTGAGTTGAATGCACATATCACAAAGTAGTTTCTGAGAATGATTCTGTCCAGTTTTTATATGAAGATATTTCCTTTTCTACCATAGGCCTCAAAGCGCTCTAAATATCCCCTTGCAAATTCTACAAAGAGAGTGTTTCAAAACTGCTCTATCAAAAGGATAGCTCAATTCTGTGTGTTGAGTGCAGACATGACAAAGAAGTTTCTGAGAATACCTCTGTCTACTTTTTATGTGAAGATATTCCCGTTTCCAATGAAGGCTTCAAAGTGCTCCAAATATCCACTTGCAGACTTTACAAACAGAGTGTTACCGAACTTCTACATAAAAAGAAAGGTTATACTCTGTGAGATGAACGCACACATCACAAAGTAGTTTCTGAGAATGATTCTGTCTAGTTTTCTACGAAGATATTTTCTTTTCTACCATAAGAATCAAAGTGCTCTAAATATCCACTTGGAAATTCTTCAAAAAGAGTGTTTCAAAACTGCCCTCTCAAAAGGAATGTTGAACGCTGTGAGTTGAATGCAAACATCACAAAGTAGTTTCTGAGAATATTTCTGTCTAGTTTTTATGTGAACATATTTCCTTTCTACCATAGGCCTCAAAGCCCTATAAATACACACTTGCAAATTCTACAAAAAGAGTGTTTAAAAACTATTCTATCAAAAGAAAGGATAAACTCTGTGCATTGAGCACACACTTCACAAAGTAGTTTATGAGAAAGATTCTGTCTAGTTTTTCTATGAAGATATTTCCTTTTCTACTATAGGCCTCAAAGAGCTCTAAATATCCAATTGGAAATTCTACAAAAAGAGTGTTTCCAAAGTGCTCTATCAAAAGGAAGGTTCAACTCTGTGAGTTGAATGCACACATTACAAAAAGTTTCTGAGAAATCTTCTGTCTAGTTTATATGTGAAGAAATTCCCGTTTCCAATGAAGGCCTCAAAGAGGTCCAAATAGACACTTGCAGATTCTTCAAAAAGAGTGTTACAAAACTGCTCTATCAAAAGAAATGTTAAACTCTGTGAGTGTAACGCACACATCACAAAGTCGTTTCTGAGAATGATTCTGTCTAATTTTTCTATGAAGATATTTCCTTTTTTACCATAGGCCTCAAAGTGCCCAAAATATTCACTTGGAAATTCTACAAAAAGAGTGTTTCAAAACTGCTCTATCAAAAGGAAGTTTCAACTCCGTGAGTTGAATGCACACATCACAAAGAAGTTTCTGAGAATTCTTCTGTCTAGTTTTATATGAAGAAATCCCATTTCCAACGAAGGCCTCAAAGAGTTCCAAATATCCACTTGCAGATTCTACAAAAAGAGTGTTTCAAAACTGCTCTATCAAGAGGAATGTTCAAC
>NC_000006.12:61378582-61381502 GCF_000001405.40 Homo sapiens | reverse complement strand
AAACATCACAAAGTAGTTTCTGACAATGCTTCTGTCTAGTTTTTATGTGAAGATATTTCCTTTTCTACCATAGGTCTCAATGCGCTCTAAATATACACCTGCAAATTCTACAAAAAGAGTGTTTCAAACCTGTTCTATCAAAAGAAAGGTTAAACTCTGTGAGTTGAATGCACACATCACGAAGTAGTTCCTGAGAATGAGTCTGTCTAGTTTTTATATGAAGATATTTCCTTTTCTACCATAGGCTTCAATGCGCTCTAATTATCTACTTGGAAATTCTACAAAAAGAGGGTTTTGGAACTGCTCTAATGAAAGGAAGGTTCAACTCTATGAGTTGAATCCACACATCACAAAGAAGTTTCTGAAAATTCTTCTGTCTAGTTGTATATGAAGAAATCCCGTTTCCAACGAAGGCCTCAAAGAGATCCAAATATCGACTTGCAGATACTACAAAAAGAGTGTTTCAAAACTATTCTATCAAATGAAAGATTAAACTCTGTGACTTGAACACACACATCACTTAGTAGTTTCTGAGAATGATTCTGTCTAGTTTTTATATGAAGATATTTCCTTTTTTGCCGTAGGCCTCTAAGCGCTCTAAATATCCACTTGGAAATTCAACAAAGAGAGTGTTTCAAAACTGCTCTATCGAACGGAATGTTCCACTCTCTGAGTTGAATGCACATATCACAAAGAAGTTTCTGAGAATTCTTCTGTCTTGTTTTTATATGAAGAAATTCTGGTTTCCAACGAAAGCCTCAAAGAAGTCCAAATATACACTTGCAGATTCTACAAAAACAGTGTTACAAAACTGCTCTATCAAAAGGAATGTTCAACTCTGTGAATAGAATGGAAACATCACAAAGTAGGTTATCAGAATGCTTCGGTCTAGTTTTGCTATGAAGATATTTCCTTTTCTACCATAGGCCCCAAAGCGCTCTAAATATCCACTTGTAAATTCTACAAAAAGAGTGTTTCAAAACTGCTTTACCAAAAGGAAGGTTCAACTTGTGAGCTGAGTTCAGACATCACAGAGAAATTTCTGAGAATACTTCTGTCTACTTTTTATGTGAAGATACTCCCGTTTCAAAAGAAGGCCTCAAAGCGCTCCAAATATCCACTTGCAGACTTTACAAACAGAGTGTTTGAAAACTGCTCTATTAAAAGAAAGGTTAAACTCTATGAGTTGAACACACACATCACAAAGTAGTTTCTGAGAATGATTCTGTCCAGTTTTTATATGAAGATATACCCTTTTCTACCATAGGCCTCATAGCGCTCTAAATATTCACTTGGAAATTCTACCAAAAGTGTGTTTCAAAACTGCTCTATCAAAAGGGAAGTTCAACTCCGTGAGTTAAATGCACACATCACAAAGAAGTTTTTGAGAATTCTTCTGTCTAGTTTTTACATGAAGAAATTCCTGTTTCCAACGAAGGTCTCGAAGAGGTCCAAATATCCACTTGCAGATTCTACAAAAAGAGTGTTACAAAACTGCTCTATCAAAAGGAATGTTCAACTCTGTGAGTTGAATGCAAACATCACAAAGTAGTTTCTCAGAATTCTTCTGTGTAGTTTTTATGTGAAGATATTTCCTTTGCTACCATAGACCTCAAATCACTCTAAATATCCACTGGAAGTTCTACAAAAAGAGTGTTTCAAAATTGCTCTATCAAAATAAAGGTTGAACTTTGTCAGTTGAATGCACACATCACAAATTATCTTCTGAGAATGCTTCTGTCTAGTTTTTCTATGAAGATATTTCCTTTTCCACCATTGGCCTCAAAGCGCTCTAAATATCCACTTGGATATTGTACAAAAAGAGTGTTTCAAAACTGCTCTATTGAAAGAAACGTTCAACTCTGTGAGGTTAATGCACAAATCACAAAGAATTTTCTGAGAATTATTTTGTCTAGTTTTTATAGAAGAAATTACCGTTTCCAAAGAAGGCCTCAAAGAGGTCCAAATATCCATATGCAGATGCTACAAAAAGAGTGTTACAAAACTGCTGTATCAAAAGGAATGTTCAGCACTGTGAGTTGAATACAAGCATCACAAAGTAGTTTCTGAGAATGCTTCTGTGTAGTTTTTCTATGAAGATATTTGCTTTTCTACCATAGGCCCCAAAGCACTCTAAATATCCACTTGCAAATTCTACAAAAAGAGTGTTTCAAAACTGTTCTATCAAAAGGAAGTTTCAATTCTGTGAGTTCAGTGCAGAAATCACAAAGATGTTTCTAAGAATACTTCTGTCTACATTTTATTGGAAGTTACTCCCGTTTCCGAAGAAGGCCTCAAAGCACTCCAAATATCCACTTGCAGACTTCACAAACAGGGTGCTTCAAAATTGCTCAATCAAAAGAAAAGTTAAACTCTGTGAGTTGAACGCACACATCACAAAGTTGTTTCTGAGAATGATTCTGTCTAGTTTTTATAGGAAGAAATTTCCTTTCGTACCATAGGCCTCAAACTGCTCTAAATATCCACTTGCAGATTCTACTAAAAGAGTGTTTCAACAAAGCCCTCTGAATACACACTTGCAAATTCCACAAAAAGAGTATTTCAAAACTGCTCTATCAAGAGGAATATTCAACACTGTGAGTTGAATGCAAACATCACAAAGTAGTTTCTGAGAAAGATTCTGTCTACATTATATATGAAGATGTTTCCTTTTCTACCATAGGCCTCCAAGCGCTCTAAATATTCAATTGGAAATTCTACAAAAAGGGTGTTTCAAAACCGCTCTATTGATAAGAAGGTTCAACTCTGTTAGTTGAATTGACACATCACAAAGAAGTTTCTGAGAATTCTTCTGTCTAGTTTTATGTGAAGAAAACCCGTTTCCAATGAAGGCCTCAAAGAGGTCTAAATATCCACTTGCAGATTCTACAAAAAGAGTGTTTGAAAACTGCTCTATCAA
>NC_000006.12:61371372-61378482 GCF_000001405.40 Homo sapiens | reverse complement strand
TTTCCAATGAAGGCCTCAAAGAGGTCTAAATATCCACTTGCAGATTCTACAAAAAGAGTGTTTGAAAACTGCTCTATCAAGAGGAATGTTCAACTCTGTGAGTTGAGTGCAAACACCACAAAGTAGTTTCTGAAAATGCTTCTGTCTAGTTTTTATATGAAGATATTTCCTTTTCTGCCATAGGCCTCAAAGCGCTCTAAATATACACTTGCAAATTCTACAAATAGTGTTTCAAAACTGCTCTGTCAAAAAAAGATTAAACTCTGTGAGTTGAACGCACACATCACAAAATAGTTTCTGAGAATGATTCTGCCTAGTTTTTATATGAAGATATTTCCTTTTCCACCATAGGCCTCAAAGCGCTCTAAATTTCCACTTGGAAATTCTACAAAAAGAGTGTTTCAAAACTGCTCTATAGAAAGAAATGTTCAACTCTGTGAGGTTAATGCACACATCACAAAGTAGTTTCTGAGAATTACTCTGTCTAGTTTCTCTATGAAGATATTTCCTTTTCTGCCATAGGCCTCAAAGCGCTCTAAATATCTACTTGGTAATTCTACAAAAAGAGTCTTTCAGAACTGCTCTATCGAAAGGAAAGTTCAACTGTGTGAGTTGAATGCACACATCACAAAGATGTTTCTGAGAATTCTTCTGTCTAGTTTTTACATGAAGAAATGCCCGTTTTCATCGAAGGCCTCAAAGAAGTCCAAATATCCACTTGCAGATTCTACAAAAAGAGTGTTACAAAACTGCTCTATCAAAACGAATGTTCAACTCTGTGAGTTGAATGCAAACATTACAAAGTAGTTTCTGAGAATGCTTCTGTCTAGTTTTTCTATGAAGATATTCCTTTTTCTACCATAGGCCCCAAAGCTGTCTAAATATCCACTTGCAAATTCTACATAAAGAGTGTTTCAAAACTTCTCTATCAAAACGAAGGTTCAAATCTGTGAGGTGAGTGCAGACATCACAAAGAAGTTTCTGAGAATACTTCTGTCTATTTTTTATGTGAAGATAATTCCGTTTCCAAATAAGGCCTCACAGCGCTACAAATGTCCACTTGCAGACTTTTCAAACAGAGTCTTTCAGAACTGCTCTATCAAAAGAAAGTTTAAACACTGTGACTTGAACGCACACATCAGAAAGTAGTTTCTGAGAATGATTCTGTCTAGGTTTTACATGAAGTGATATCCTTTTCTACCATAGGCCTCAAAGCGCTCAAAATATCCACTTGCAAATTCTACAAAAATAATGTTTCAAAACTGCTCTAACAAAAGGAAGGTTCAACTCTGTAAGTTGAGTGCAGACATAACTAAGAAGTTTCTGAGAATACTTCTATCTAATTTTTATGTGAAGATATTCCCGTTTCCAAGGAAGGCCTCAAAGCGCTCCAAAAATCCACTTGCAGACTTTACAAACAGGGTGTTTCAAAACTGTTCTATCAAAAGAAAGGTTAAATTCTGTGAGTTCAATGCACACATCACAATGTAGTTTCTGAGAATGATTCTGTCTAGTTTTTATATGAAGATATTTCGTTTTCTACCATAGGGTTCAAAGCCCGCTAAATACACACTTGCAAATTCTACAAAAAGAGTGTTTCAAAACTGCTCTATAAAAAGAAAGCTTAAACACTGTCAGTTGAATGCACACATTACAAAGTAGTTTCTGAGAAAGATTCTGTCTAGTTTTTATATGAAGATATTTCCTTTTCTACCATAGACCTCCAAGCTCTCTAAATATTCACTTGGAAATTCTACAAAAAGAGTGTCTCAAAACTGCTCTATCGAAAGGAAGGTTCAAATCTGTGAGTTCAATGCACACACCACAAAGAAGTTTCTGGGAATTCTTCTGTCTAGTTTTATATGAAGAAATCCTGTTTCCAATGAAGTCCTAAAAGTGGTCCAAAAATTCACTTGCAGATTCTTCAAAAAGAGTGTTTCAAAACTGCTCTATCAAGAGCAATGTTCAAATCTGTGAGTTGGATTGAAACATCACAAAGTAGTTTCTGAGAATGCTTCTGTCTAGTATTTATGTGAAGATATTTCCTTTTCTACCATAGGCCTCAAAGCGCTCTAAATATACACTTGCAAATTGTATAAAAAAAGTGTTTCAAAGCTGCTCTATCAAATAAAGTTTAAACTCTGTGAGTTGAATGCATACATCACAAAGTAGTTTCTGAGAATGATTCTGTCTAGTTTTTATATGAATAGATTTCCTTTTCTGCCATAGGCCTCAAAGCGCTCTACATATGCACTTGTAAATTCTACAAAAAGAGTGTTTCAAAACTGCTCTATCAAAAGGAAGGTTCAATTGTGTGAGTTGAGTGCAGACATCATAAGGAAGTTTCTGAGAATACTTCTGTCTACTTTTTATGTGAAGATATTCCCGTTTCCATATAAGGCCTCAAAGCCCTCCAAATATCCACTTGCAGAATTTACAAACAGAGTGTTTCAAAACTGCTCTATCAAAAGAAAGATTAAACTCTGTAAGATGAACGCACACACCCCAAAAAGTTTTGGAGAATTCTTCGGTCTACTTTTCATGTGAAAAAATTACCGTTTCCAAAGAAGGCCCCAAAGAGGTCCAAATATCCACTTGCAGATTCAACAAAAAGAGTGTTTCATACGTGCTCTATCAAAAGGAATGTTGAACTCTCTCAGTTGAATGCAAACATCACAAAGTAGTTTCTGAGAACATTTCTGTCTAGTTTTTATGTGAATATATTTCCTTTTATACCAGAGGCCTCAAAACCCTCTAAATACACACTTGCAAATTCTACAAAAAGAGTGTTTCAAAACTGCTCTATCAGAACAACAGTTAAACTCGGTGAGTTTAATGCACACATCACAAAGTAGTTTCTGAGAATGACTCTGTCTAGTTTTTATATGAAAATATTTCCTTTTCTACCATATGCCTCCAAGCACTCTACACATTCACTTGGAAATTCTACAAAAAGAGTTTTTCAAAACTGCTCTATCGAAAGGTAGGTTCAGCTCTGTTAGTTGAATGCACACATCACAAAGAAATTTCTGAGAATTCTTCTGTCTAGTTTTATATGAAGAATTCCCGTTTCCAACAAAGGCCTCAAGGAGGTCCAAATATCCACTTGGAGATTCTACAAAAAAAGTGTTTCAAAACTGCTCTATCAAGAGCAATGTTCAACTCTGTGAGTTTAATCAAACATCAAAAAGTAGTTTCTGAGAATGCTTCTGTCTAGCTTTTATGTGAAGATATTTCCTTTTATGCCATAGGCCTCAAAGTGCTCTAAATATCCACTTGCAAATTCTACAAAAAGAGTGTTTCAAAACTGCTCTATCAAAAGAAATGTTAAACTCTGTGAGTTGAATGCACACATCACGAAGTAGTTACTGAGAATTATTCTCTCTAGTTTTTATATGAAGATATTTCATTTTCTACCATAGGCCACAAATCGCTCTAAATTTCCACTTGGAAATTGTACAAAAAGAGTGTTTCAAAACTCGTGTATCGAAAGGAAGGTTCATCACCCTGAGTTCAATGCACACATCACAAAGAAGTTTCTGAGAAGTCCTCTGTCTCGTTTTTATAGAAGAAATTCCCGTTTCCAAAGAAGTCCTCAAAAAGGTCCACATATCCACATACAGATGCTACAAAAGGAGTGTTATAAAACTGCTCTATCAAAAGGAATGCTCAACTCTGTGAGTTGAATGCAAACATCACAAAGTAGTTTCCGAGAATGATTCTGTGTAGTTTTTCTATGAAGATATTTCCTTTTCTACCATAGGCCCCATAGCGCTCTAAATATCCACTTGCAAATTCTACAAAAAGAGTGTATCAAAACAGCTCTATAAAAAGGAAGGTTCAACTCTGTGAGTTGAATGCAGACATCCCAAAGAAGTTTCTGAGAATACTTCTGTCTAATTTTTATGTGAAGATATTCCCGTTTCCAAAGAAGGCCTCAAAGCTCTCCAAATATCCACTTGCAGAGAATACAAACACAGTGTTTCAAAGCTGTTTTATCAAAAGAAAAGTTAAACTCTGTGAGCTGAAAGCACACATTACAAAGTAGTTTCTGAGAATGATTCCGTCTAGTTTTTCTGTGAAGAAATTTCCTTTTCTACCTTAGGCCTCAAAGTCCTCTAAAAACACACCAGCAAATTCTACAAAAAGAGCGTTTCAAAACTGGTCTATCAAAACAAATGTTAAACTCTGTGAGTTAAACTCACACATCACAAAGTAGTTTCTGAGAATGATTCTTTCTAGTTTTTCTATGATGATATTTCTTTTTATGCCGCAGGCCTCCAGGCGCTCCAAATATTCACTTGGAAATTCTATAAAAAGAGGGTTTCAAAACTGCTCTATCAAAAGGAAGGCTCAAATCTGTGAGTTGAATGAACACATCACAAAGTAATTTCTGAGAATTCTTCTGTCTAGTTTATTTGTAAAGAATTTCCCCTTTCCAACGAAGGCCTCAAAGAGGTCCAAATATACTCTTGCAGTTTCTACAAAAAGAGTGTTTCAAAAACTGCTCTATCAAAGCGAATGTTGAACTCTGTGAGTTGAATGCAAATATTACAAAGTAGTTTCTGACAGTGCTTCTGTCTAGTTTTTATGTGAAGATATTGCCTTTTCCACCATATGCCTCAAAGCGCTCTAAATATACACTTGCAAATTCTACAAAAAGAATGTTTCAAAACTGCTCTAACAAAAGCAAGGTTCAACTCTATGAGTTGAATGCACACATCACAAAAAGTTTCTGAGAATTCTTCTGTCTAGTTTTTACGTGAAGAAATTCCCCTTTCCAATGAAAGCCTCAAAGAAGTCCAAGTGTCAACTTGCAGATTCTACAAAAAGAGTGTTTCAAAACTGCTTTATCAAAGGGAATGTTGAACTCTGTGAGTTGAATGCAAACATCACAAAGTACTTTTTGAGAATGCTTTTGTCTAGTTTTTATGTGAAGATATTGCCTTTTCTACCATAGGCCTTCAAGCGCTCTAAATATACACCTGCAAATTCTACAAAAAGAGTGTTTCAAAACTCCTCTATCAAAAGAAAGCTTAAACTCTGTGAGTTGAAAACATACAACACTAAGCAGTTTCTGAGAATGATTCTGTCTAGTTTTTATATGAAGCTATTTCCTTTTCTTCCATAGGCCACAGAGTGCTCTAAATGTCCACTTGGAAATTCTACAAAAAGAGTGTTTCAAAACTGCTCTATCAAAAGGAAGGATCAACTCTCTGAGTTGAATGCAGGCATCACAAAGAAGTTTCTGAGAATACTTCTGTCTACCTTTTATGTAAAGATATTACCGTTTCCAAAGAAAGCCTCAAAGCTTTCCAAAAATCCACTTGCAGACTTTACAAACAGAGTGTTTCAAAACTGCTCTAGCAAAAGAAAGGTTAAACTCTGTGAGTTGAATGCACACGTCACAAAGTAGTTTCTGAGAAAGATTCTGTCTAGTTTTTATATGAAGATATTTCCTTTTCTACCATTGGCTTCAAATCGCTCTAAATATACATTTGGAAATTCTACAAAAAGAGTTTTCAAAACTGCTCTATCAAAAGGAAGGTTCAACTCTGTGAGTTGAATGCACACATCGCAAAAAGTTTTGGAGAATTCTTCTGTCTAGTTTTTATGTGAAAATTTCCCGTTTCCAACGAAGGCCTCAAAGAGGTCCAAATATCCACTTGCAGATTCTACAAAAAGAGTATTTCAAACGTGCTCTATCAAAAGGAATGTTGAACTCTGTGAGTTGAATGCAAACATCAAAAAGTAGTTTCTGAGAATGCTTCTGTCTAGTTTTCATATGATCATATTTCCTTTTCTACCATAGGCCTCAAAGCCCTCTAAATACACAATTGCAAATTCTAAAAAAATAGTGTTTCAAAACTGCTCTACCAAAGGAATGGTTAAACACTGTGAGTTGAACGCACACATCACAAAGTAGTTTCTGAGAATGATTCTGTCTAGTTTTTATATGAAGATATTTCCTTTTCTACCACAGGCCTCCAAGAGCTCTAAATATTCACTTGGAAATTCTACAAGAAGAGGGATTCAAAACTGCTCTATCGAAAGGAAGTTTCAACCCTGTGAGTTCAATACACACATTACAAAGAAGTATCTGAGAATTCTTCTCTCTAGTTTTATATGAAGAAATCCCGTTTCCAAAGAAGGCCTCAAAAAGGTCCAAATATCCACTTGCTGATTCTACAAAAAGAGTGTTTTAAAAATGCTCTATCAAGAGGAATGTTCAACTCTGTGAGTTGAATGCAAACATCAAAAGTAGTTTGTCAGAATACTTCTGTATATTTTTTCTGTGAAGATATTTCCTTTTCTACCATAGGCCTCAAAACACTCTAAATATACACTTGCAAATACTACAAAAAGAGTGTTTCAAAACTGCTCTTTTAAAAGAAAGGATAAACTCTGTCAGTTGAACTCACACATCATAACGTAGTTTCTGAGAATTATTCTGTCTAGTTTTTATATGAAAGTATTTCAATTTCTACCATAGGCCTCAAAGCGCTTGAAATATCCACTTGCAAATTCTAGAAAAAGAGTGTTTCAAAACTGCTCTATCAAAAAGAAGGTTCAACTCTGTGAGTTGAGTGTAGACATCACGAAGAACTTTCTGAGAATACTTCTGTCTTTTTTTTATGTGAAGATACCCCCGTTTCCACAGAAGGTCTCAAAGCGCTCCACATATCCACTTGCAGACTACACAAAAAGAGTGTTTCCAAACTGCTCTATCAAAAGAAATGTTAAACTCTATGCGTTGAATGCACACATCACAAAGTAGTTTCTGAGAATGATTCTGACTTTTTTTTATATGAAGATATTTCCTTTTTTACCATACACTTCAAAGCGCTCTAAATATCCACTCGGAAATTCTACAAAAAGAGTATTTCCAAACTGCTCTATCAAAAGGAAGGTTCAACTCTATGACTTGAATGCACACATCTCAAAATGTTTCTGCGAATTCTTCTGTCTAGTTTTTATGTGAAGATATTTCCGATTCCTTCTAATGCCTCAAAGAGATCCAAATATCCACTTGCAGATTCTACAAAAAGAGTGTTTCAAAACTGCTCTATCGAAAGGAAAGTTGAACTCTGTGAGTTGAATGCAAACATC
>NC_000006.12:61363066-61370554 GCF_000001405.40 Homo sapiens | reverse complement strand
GTTGAATGCAAACATCACAAAGTAGTTTCTGAGAATGATTCTGTGTAGTTTTTCTATGAAGATATTTCCTTTTCTACCATAGGCCCCAAAGCCCTCTAAATATTCACTTGCAAATTCTACAAAAAGAGTGTTTCAAAACTGCACTATCAAAAGGAAGGTTCAACTCTCTGTGTTCAGTGCAGACATCACAAAGAAGTTTCTAAGAATACTTCTGTCTACATTTTATATGAAGGTACTCCCATTTCCAAAGAAGGCCTCAAAGTGCTCCAAATATTCACTTGCAGACTTTACAGAGTGCTTCAAAACTGCTCAATCAACAGAAAGTTTAAACTCTGTGATTTGAACGCACACATCACAAAGTAGTTTCTGAGAATGATTCTGTCTAGTTTTTATAGGAAGAAATTTCCTTTCCTACCATAGGCCTCAAAGCACTCTAAATATCCACTTGCAAATACTACAAAAAGAGTGTTTCAAAACTGATCTATCAAAAGGAAGGTTCAACTCTGTGAGTTGAGTGCAGACATCGCAAAGAAGTTTCTGAGAATACTTCTGTCTGCTTTTTATGTGAAGATATTCCCGTTTCCCAAGAACCCTCAAAGCGCTCGAAATATCTACTTGCAGAGTTTACAAACAGTGTATCAATACTGTTCTATCAAAAGAAAGGTTAAACTCTGTGAGCTGAAAGCGCACATCACAAAGTAGTTTCTGAGAATGATTCAGTCTAGTTTCTCTGTGAAGAAATTTCCTTTTCTACCATAGACCTCAAAGCCCTCTAAATACACACTAGCAAATTCTACAAAAAGAGTGTTTTGAAACTGCTCTATCAAAAGGAAGGTTCAACTCTGTGAGTTGAGTGCAGACATCACAAATAAGTTTCTGAGAATACTTCTGTCTACTTTTTATGTGAAGATATTCCTGTTTCCCAAAAAGACCTCAAAGCGCTCAAAATATCCACTTGCAGACTTTTAAAAAGAGTGTTTCAAAACTGCTCTAACCAAAGGAAGGTTCAACTCTGTGAGTTGAATGCACACATCACAAAGAAGTATCTGAGAATATTTCCTTCCAGTTTTTATGTGAAGATAATTCCTTTTCCAACATAGGCCTCAGAGGGAATCAAATATCTACTTGCATATTCTACAAAAAGAGTGTTTCAAAACTGCTCTGTCAAAGGTAAATTTCAACTCTGTGAGTTGAATGCACACAACGCAAAGAAGTTTCTGAGAATTCTTCTGTCTGGTTTTTATGTGAAGGTATTTCTGTTTCCAACGAAGGTCTCAAAACTTTCCAAATATCCACATGCAGATTCCACCAAAAGTGTGTTTCAAAACTGTTCTATCAAGAGGAATGTTCAACTCTGTGAGTTGAATGCAAACATCACAAAGAAGTTTCTCAGAATGCTTCTGTCTAGTTTTTATACGAAGATATTTCCTTTTCTACCATAGGACTCAAAGAGCTCCAAATATCCACTTGAAGATTCTACAAAAATAGTGTTTCAAAACTGCTCTATCAAAACGAAGGTTCCACTCTGTGAGTTGAGTGCAGACATCGCAAAGGAGTTTCTGAGAATACTTCTGTCTACTTTTTATGTGAACATATTCCCGTTTCCAAAGAGGCCTCAAAGCGCTCCAAATAATCACTTGCAGACTTTACAAACAGAGTGTTTCAAAGCTACTCTATCAAAAGGAAGGTTCAACTCTGTGAGTTGAATGCACAAATGACAAAGAAGTTTCTGAGAATGTTTCTTTCTAGTTTTTATATGAAGATAATTCCTTTTCCAACATTGGCCTCAAAAGGAATCTAATATCCACTTGCTGATTCCACAAAAAGAGTGTTTGAAAACTGCTCTATCAAAAGGAAGTTTCAACTCTGCGAGTTGAAAGCACACATCAAAAGAAGTTTCTGAGAATATTTCTTTCTCGTTTTTATTTGAAGATATTTCCTTTTCCGACATAGGTCTCAAAGGGAGCCATATATCAACTTATGGATTCTACAAAAAGAGTGTTTCAAAACTGCTCTATGAATAGAAAGTTTCAAGTCTGTGAGACGAATGCACACCTCACAAAGAAGTTTCTGAGAATGCTTCTGTCTGGTTTTTATAGGAAGATATTCTCGTTTCCAACAAAGGCTTCAAAGCGGTCCAAATATCTTCTTGTAGATTCCACAAAAAGAGTGTTTCAAAACTACTCTATCAAAAGAAAAGTTCAACTCGGTGCGTTGAATGCACACATCGCAATGAAGTTTCTGAGAATGCTTCTGTTTGCTTTTTATGTGAGGATATTCTCCTTTCAACAAAGGCCTCAAATCGGTCCAAATATCCAATTGCAGATTCCACAAAAAGAATGTTTCAAAACTGCCCTATCAAAAGGAGTGTCCAACTCTGTGAGTTGAATGCAAACATAACAAAGAAGTTTCTTAGAATTCTTCTGTCTACTTGTTATATGTAGATATTTCCTTTTCTACCATAGGCCCCAAAGCGCTCCAAATATCCACTTGAAGATTCTACAAAAAGTGTGTTTCAAAACTGCTCTATCAAAATGAAGGTTCAACTGTGTGAGTTGAATGCATATATCACAAAGAAGTTTCTGAGAATGTTTCTTTCAAGATTTTATGTGAAGATATTTCTTTTTCCAATAAAGGCCTCAAAGGGAACAAAATATCCACTTGCAGATTCCTCAAAAAGAGTGTTTCAAAACTGCTCTATCAAAAGGAATGTTCAAATCTGTGAGTTGAGTGCAGACATCACAAAGAAGTTTCAGAGAATACTTCTGTCTACTTTCTATTTGAAGATATTTCCGTTTCCAAAGAAGGCCTCAAAGTGCTCCAAATATCCACTTGCAGATTCAACAAAAAGAATGTTTCAAAACAGCTCTATGAAAAGGAAGGTTGAACTCTGTGAGTAGAAAGCACATATCAAAAAGCAGTTTCTGAGAATAATTCTTTCTAGTTTTTATGTGAAGATATTTCCTTTTCCAACATACGCCTCAAAGGGAGCCACCTATCCACTTGCAGATTCTAAAAAAGAGTGTTTCAAAACTGCTCTATCAAAAGAAAAGTTCAACTATTTAAATTGAATGCACACATCATAAAGAAGTTTCTGTGAATGCTTCTGTCTACTTTTTATTTGAAGATATTCCCTTTTCCACCGAAGGCTTCAAAGCGGTCCAAATATCCACTTGCATATTCTACAGAAAGTGTGTTTCAAAACTGCTCTATCAAAGGAAAGGTTCAACTCTGTGAGTAGAACACAAACATCACAAAGTAGTTTCTGAGAATCATTCTGTCTAATTTTTATATGAAGATATTTCCTTTTCCACCATAGGCCTCAAAGCGCTCTAAATATCCACTTGCAAATTCTAGAAAAAGAGTGTTTCAAAACTGCTCTTTCCAAAGGAAGGTTGAACTCTGTGAGTTGAGTGCACACATCAAAAGGAGTTTCTGAGACTTCATCTGTCTAGTTTTAATTTGAATAAATTCCCATTTCCCACGAAGGCCTCCATGCGGTCCAAATATACACTTGCAGATTCTACAAAAAGTGTTACAAAACTGCTCTATCAAAAGGAATGTTCAACTCTGTGAGGTGAACGCACACATCACATAGTAGTTTCTGAGAATCATTCTACCTAGTTTTTATATGAGGATATTTCCTTTTCTACCACAGGCCTCAAAGCGTTCCAAATATCCACATGCAAATTCTACAAAAAGAGTGTTTCAAAACTGCTCTATGTAAAGAAAGGTTAAACTCTGTGAGTTGAACGCACACATCACAAAGTAGTTTCTGAGAATGATTCTGTCTAGTTTTTCTATCAAGATATTTCCTTTTCTACCATAGGCATCAAAGTGCTCTAAATATCCACTTGGAAATTCTACAAAAAGAGTCTTTCAAAACTGCTCAATCAAAAGGAAGGTTCACCTCTGTGAGTTGAATGCAGACATCACAAAGAAGTTTCTGAGACTACCTCTGTCTATCTTTTATGTGAAGATATTCTCGTTTCCAAAGAAGGTCTCAAGGCGCACCAAATATCCACTTGCAGACTTTACAACAGAGTGTTTCAAAACTGTTGTATCAAAAGAAGTTTCAACTCTGTCAGTTGAATGCACACATCACAAAGAAATTTCTGAGAATGTTTCTTTCTAGTTTTTATGTGAAGATAATTCTTTTTCCAACTTAGGCCTCAAAGGGAATCAAATATCCACTAGCAGATTGTACAAAAATAGTGTTTCAAAACTRCCCTATCAAAAGAAAAGTTAAACTCTGTGAATTGAATGCACACATTGCAAAGAGGTTTCTGAGAATGCTTCTGTCTGGTTTTTAGGTGAGGATATTCCCGTTTCCAACGAAAGCCTCAAAGCGGTCCAAATATCCACTTGCAGATTCCACAAAAAGAGAGTTACAAAACTATTCTATCAAAAGGAATGTTCAACTCTGTGAGATGAATGCAAACATCACAAAGAAGTTTCTCAGAATGCTTCTGTCTACTTTTTATATGAAGATATTTCCTCTTCTTCCACAGGCCTCCAAGCGCTCCAAATTCCCACTTGAAGATTCTACAAAAAGAGTGTTTCAAAACTGCTCTATCAAAAGGAAGGTTCAACTCTGTAAGCTGAAAGCACCCATCAAAAATAAGTTTCTGAGAATGATTCTTTCTAGTGTTTATGTGAAGATATTTCCTTTTCCAACATAGTCTTCAAAGGGAGCCACATATCCACTTGCAGATTCTACAAAAAGAGTGTTTCAAAACTGCTCTATCAAAAGAAAGGTTCAATTCTGTGAGCTGAATACACGCATCACAAAGAAGTTTCTGAGAATGTTTCTTTCTAGTTTTTATCTGAAGATAATTCCTTTTCCAACATAGGCTTCAAAAGGAAAGAAATGTCCACTTGCAGATTCTACAAAAAGAGTGTCTCAAAACTGCTCTATAAAAAGGAAGGTTCAACTCTGTGAGTTGAATGCACACATCACAAAGAAGTCTCTGAGAATGGTTCTATCTACTTTTTATATGAAGATAATTCCCTTTTTACCATTGACATCAAAGCGCTCCATGTATCCACTTGCACATTCTAAAAAAAGTGTGTTTCAAAACTTCTCTATCAAAAGAAAGGTTCTACTCTGTGAGTTGAATGCACACATCACAAAGGATTTTCTCAGAATGTTTATTTCAAGTTTTTATGTGAAATTATTTCTGTTTCCAATGAAAGCCTCAAAGCGGTCCAATTATGCACTGGCAGATTCCACAAAAAGAGTGTTACAAACCTGTTCTATCAAAAGGAATGTTCAGCTGTGTGAGTTGAATGCAAACTTCACAGAGTAGTTTCTGAGAATGCTTCTGTCTAGTTTTTATATTAAGATATTTCCTATTCTAAAATAGACCAAAAAACGCTCTAAATATCCACTTGCAAATACTACAAAAAGAGTGTTTCTAAACTGCTCTATCAAAAGGAAGGTTCAAATCTGTGAGTTGAATGCAGACATCACAAAGAAGTTTCTGAGAATATCTCTGTCTAATTTTTATGTGAAGATATTCCCGTTTCCAATGAAGGCCACAAAGCGGTCCAAATATCCACTTTCACATTCCAAAAAAAGAGTGTTTCAAAACTGCTCTATCAAAAGGAATGTTCAACTCTGTGAGTTGAATGCAAACATCACAAAGAAGTTTCTGAGAATGCTTCTGTCCAGTTTTCATATGAAGATATTACATTTTCTTCTGTAGGCCTCAAAGCGCTCCAAATATCCACTTTAAGATTCTACAAAAAGTGTGTTTCAAAACTGCTCTATCAAAAGAAAAGTTCAACTGTGTGAGCTAAATGCGCAAATAGCAAAGAAGTTTCTGAGAATGTTTCTTTCTAGTTTTTACATGAAGATATTTCCTTTTGCAACATAGGCCTCAAAGAGAACAATATATCCACTTGCAGATTCCACAAAAAGAGGGTTCCAAAACTGCTCTATCAAAAGAAATGTTCAGTTCTGTGAGTTGAATGCAAACATCACAATGTAGTTTCTGAGAATGCTTCTGTCTACTTTTTATATGAAGACACTTTCTATTCTACCATAGGCCTCAAAGCGCTCTAAATATCCACTTGCAATTCTACAAAAGAGTGTTTCAAAACTGCTCTATCAAAAGGAAGGTTCAACTCTGTGAGTTGAGTGCAGACATCACAAAGAAGTTTCTAAGAATACTTCTGTCTGCTTTTTATGTGAAGATATTGCCGTTTCCAAAGAAGGCCTCAAAGCGCTCCAAATATCCACTTGCAGATTCTACAAAAAGAGTGATTCAAAACTGTTCTATCAAAAGGAATATTCAACTCTGTGAGTTGAAAGCATACATCAAAAAGCAGTTTCTGAGAATGATTCTTTCTAGTTTTTATGTGAAGACATTTCCTTTTCCAACATAGGTCTCAAAGGGAGCCATATATACACTTGCAGATTCTACAAAAAGCGTGTTTCAAAACTGCTCTATGAATAGAAAGGTTCAAAACTGTGAGTTGAATCCACACCTCACAAGAAATTTCTGAGAATGCTTCTGTCTGGTTTTTATGTGAAGATATACCCATTTCCAATGAAGGCTTCAAAGTGGTCCAAATATCCCCTTGTAGAATCCACAAAAAGAGTGTTTCAAAACTGCTCTATTAAAAGGAATATTCAACTCTGTGAGTTGAATTCAAATATCACAAAGAAGTTTCTGAGAATGCTTCTGTCTAGTCTTTATACGAAGATGTTTCCTCTTCTACCATAGGCGTCAAAGCACTCCAAATATCCACTTGCAGATTCTACAAAAAGAGTGTTTCAAAACTGCCCTGTCAAAAGGAAGTTTCAACTCTGTGAATTGAATGCACATATCACAAAGAAGTTTCTGAGAATGTTTCTTTCTAGTTTTTACGTGAAGATATTTCCTTTTCCAACGTAGGCCTCAAAGAACTCCAAATATCCACTTGCAGATTCTACAAAAAGAGTGTTGCAAAACTGCTCTATCAAAAGAAAAGTTCAACTCTGTTAGTTGAATGCACACATCACAAAGAAGTCTCTGAGAATAAGTCTGTCTGATTTTTATATGAAGACAATTCCCTTTTTACCATTGGCATGAAAACGCTCCAAGTATCCACTTGCAGATTATACGAAAAGTGTGTTTCAAAACTGCTGTATCAAAAGAAAGATTCAGGGGGAGGAGCCACGATGGCTGAATAGGAACAGCTCTAGTCTACAGCTCCCAGCGTGAGCGATGCAGAAGAAGGGTGATTTCTGCAGTTCCATCCGAGGTACCGGGATCATCTCACTAGGGGGTGCCAGACAGTGGGCGCAGGTCAGTGGGTGTGTGCACCATGCGCGAGCTGAAGCAGGGCGAGACATTGCCTCACTTGGGAAGTGCAAGGGGTCAGGGAGTTCCCTTTCCGAGTCAAAGAAAGGGGTGACGGACGCACCTGGAAAATCGGGTCACTCCCACCCGAATACTGAGCTTTTCTGACCGGCTTAAAAAACGGCACACCACAAGATTA
>NC_000006.12:59819063-59829934 GCF_000001405.40 Homo sapiens | reverse complement strand
TCTGTCTAGAGTAACATGAAGAAATCCCGTTTCCAACGAAGGCCTCAAGGCGGTCCAATTATCCACTTGCAGATTCTACAGAAAGAGTGTTTCAAAACTGCTCTATCAAGAGAAATGTTCCACCGTGTGTGTGGAATGCAGCCATCACACAGTAGTTTCTGAGATTGCTTCCGTCTAGGTTTTATGGGAAGATATTTCCTTTTCTACCATAGGCTTCAAGGCGCTCTAATATCCGCTTGGAAATACTACAACCACAGCGTTTCAAACTGCTCTATCCAAAGGAAGGTTCCACTCTGTGACTTGAATGCACACAACCAAAGAAGTTTCGGAGAATTCTTCTGTCTAGATTTATACGAAGAAATCCCGTTTCCAACGAAGACCCAAAGGAGTTCCAAATATCCACTTGCAGATCCTTCAGAAAGAGGGTTTCAAAACTGCTCTATCAAGAGAAATGTTCAACTCTGTGAGTTGAATGCAGACATCACAAAGTCGTTTCTGAGATTGGTTCTGTCTAGGTTTTATGGGAAGATATTTCCTTTTCTACCATGCGCTTCAAGGCGTTCCAAATATCCGCTTGGAAATACTACAAAAACAGTGTTTCAAACCTGCTCTATCAAAAGGAAGGATCCACACTGTGAGTTGAATTCACACATCACAAAGAAGTCTCTGAGAATTCTTCTGTCTGGGTTTATAGGAAGAAATCCCGTTTCCAACGAAGGCCTCAAAGAGGTCCAAATATCCACTTGCAGATTCTACAGAAACAATGTTTCCAAACTGCTCGGTCAAGAGGAATGTTGCACTCGGTGAGTTGAATGCACACATCACAAAGTAGTTTCTGAGATTGCTTCTGTCTACCTTTTATGGAAAGATATTCCCTTTTCTACCATAGGCCTGAAAGCGCTCTCAATGTACCCTTGCAAATTCTACAAAAAGAGTGTTTCCAAATTGCTCTATCAAGAGAAATCTTTATCTCGGTGAGTTGGAAGCACACATCACAAAGAAGACTCTGAGAATTCTTCTGTCTGGGTTTATAAGAGGAAAACCCGTTTCCAACGAAGGCCTCAAGGAGGTCCAAATACAAACAAGCTGATTCTACAGAAAGAGTGTTTCCAAACTGCTCTATCAAGAGGAATGTTCCACTCGGTGAGTTGAATGCAGACATCACAAAGGAGTTTCTGGGATTGCTTCTGTCTAGCTTTTATGGAAAGATATTTCCTTTTCTACCATAGGCCTCAAAGCGCTCTTAGTATACACTTCCAAATTCTACAAAGACAGTGTTACTAAACTGCTCTATCAAAGGAAATGTTAAACTCTGTGAGTTGAACACAGACATCACAAAGCAGTTTCTGAGAACACTTCTGTCTGCCTTTTATGTGAAGACATTCCCTTTTCCAAAGAATGCCTCCAAGGGCTCAAAATATCCACTTGTAGACTTTACAAAGAGAGTGTTTCAAAACTTCTCTACCAAAAGAAAGGTTAAAGACGGTGAGTTCAACGCACACATCACAAAGTTGTTTCTGAGAATGATTCTATCTATGTTTTCCATGAAGATGTTTCCTTTTCTATCATAGGCTTCAAAGTGGTCTAAATATCCACTTGGAAATCCTACAAGAACAGGGTTTCAAAACTTCTCTATCAAACGGAAGACTCCACTCTGTGAGATGAACGCACACATCACAATGAGGTTTCTGAAAATTCTTCTGTCTAGGGTTATAGGAAGAAATCCCGTTTCCAACGAAGGCCTCAAAGAGGTCCAAATATCCACTTGCAGTTTCTACAAAAAGAGTGTTTCAACACTGCTCTATAAAGAGAAAAGTTCCACTCTGTGAGTTGAATGTACACATCACAAAGTAGTTTCTGAGATTGCTTCTGTCTAGGTTTTAGGTGAAGTTATTTCCTTTTCTACTTTGGGCTTCAATGCGCTCTAAATATACACATGCAAATACTACAAAAAGAGTGTTTCAAAACTGCTCTATCAAAAGAAAAGTTTTACTCTGTGGGTTGAACGCACACATCGCAAAGCAGATTCTGAGAATTATTCTGTCTAGTTTTTATAGGAAGATGTTTCTTTTTCTGCCATAGGCTCAATGCGCTATAAATATCCCCTTGGAAGTCCTACAAAAACAGTGTTTCAAAACTGCTCTGTGAAAAGGGAGGTTTCACTCTTTGAATTGAATGCACACATCACAAAGGAGTTTCTGAAAATTCTTCAAACTAGAGTTACATGAAGAAATCCCGTTTCCAAAGAAGGCCTCAAATAGGTCCAAATATCCACTTGCAGCTACTACAAGCAGGGTGTTTCAGAAACGCTCTATCAAAAGAAACGTTAAACTCTGTGAGTTGAACACACACGTCACTAAGCACTTTCTGAGAACGATTCTATCTACTTTTTACATGAAGATGTTTCCTTTTCTAGCAGAGACTTCAAAGTGCTCTAAATATCCAATTGGGAATTCTACAAAAACGGTGTCTCAAAACTGCTCTATCAAAGGGAATGTTCCATTCTGTGAGTCGAATGCACACATCCGGAAGAAGTTACTGAGAATTCTTCTCTGTAGGTTTAGATGAAGAAATCCCGTTTCCAACGAAGGCCTCTAGGAGGTCCAATTATCCACTTGCAGATTCTACAGAAAGAGTGTTTCAAAACTGCTCTATCAAGAGAAATGGTCCACCGTGTGTGTGGAATGCAGCCATCACACATTAGTTTCTGAGATTGCTTCTGTCTTGGTTTTATGGGGAGATATTTCCATTTCTAGCATAGGCTTCAAGGCGCTCTAAATATCCGCTTGGAAATACTACAAAAACAGTGTTTCAAAACTGCTGTATCCAAAGGAAGGTGCCACTCGCTGAGTTGAATGCACACATCACAAGGAAGTTTCTGAGAATTCTTCTGTCTAGATTCATACGAAGAAATCCCGTTTCCAACGAAGGCCTCAAAGAAGTCCAAATATCCCATTGCAAATTCTACAAAAGGAGTGTTTCCCAACTGCTCTATCAAGAGGAATGTTGCACTCTGTGACTTGCATGCAAACATCACATAGTAGTGTTTGAGAATTCTTCTGTCTAGAGTAACATGAAGAAATCCCGTTTCCAACGAAGGCCTCAAGGCGGTCCAATTATCCACTTGCAGATTCTACAGAAAGAGTGTTTCAAAACTGCTCTATCAAGAGAAATGTTCCACCGTGTGTGTGGAATGCAGCCATCACACAGTAGTTTCTGAGATTGCTTCCGTCTAGGTTTTATGGGAAGATATTTCCTTTTCTACCATAGGCTTCAAGGCGCTCTAATATCCGCTTGGAAATACTACAACCACAGCGTTTCAAACTGCTCTATCCAAAGGAAGGTTCCACTCTGTGACTTGAATGCACACAACCAAAGAAGTTTCGGAGAATTCTTCTGTCTGGATTTATACGAAGAAATCCCGTTTCCAACGAAGACCCAAAGGAGTTCCAAATATCCACTTGCAGATCCTTCAGAAAGAGGGTTTCAAAACTGCTCTATCAAGAGAAATGTTCAACTCTGTGAGTTGAATGCAGACATCACAAAGTCGTTTCTGAGATGGGTTCTGTCTAGGTTTTATGGGAAGATATTTCCTTTTCTACCATACGCTTCAAGGCGTTCCAAATATCCGCTTGGAAATACTACAAAAACAGTGTTTCAAAACTGCTCTATCAAAAGGAAGGATCCACACTGTGAGTTGAATTCACACATCACAAAGAAGTCTCTGAGAATTCTTCTGTCTGGGTTTATAGGAAGAAATCCCGTTTCCAACGAAGGCCTCAAAGCGGTCCATATATCCACTTGCAGATTCTACAGAAACAATGTTTCCAAACTGCTCTATCAAGAGGAATGTTGCACTCGGTGAGTTGAATGCACACATCACAAAGTAGTTTCTGAGATTGCTTCTGTCTACCTTTTATGGAAAGATATTCCCTTTTCTACCATAGGCCTGAAAGCGCTCTCAATGTACCCTTGCAAATTCTACAAAAAGAGTGTTTCCAAATTGCTCTATCAAGAGAAATCTTTATCTCGGTGAGTTGAAAGCACACATCACAAAGAAGACTCTGAGAATTCTTCTGTCTGGGTTTATAAGATGAAAACCCGTTTCCAACGAAGGCCTCAAGGAGGTCCAAATACAAACAAGCTGATTCTACAGAAAGAGTGTTTCCAAACTGCTCTATCAAGAGGAATGTTCCACTCGGTGAGTTGAATGCAGACATCACAAAGGAGTTTCTGAGATTGCTTCTGTCTAGCTTTTATGGAAAGATATTTCCTTTTCTACCATAGGCCTCAAAGCGCTCTTAGTATACACTTCCAAATTCTACAAAGAGAGTGTTACTAAACCGCTCTCTCAAAGGAAATGTTAAACTCTGTGAGTTGAACACAGACATCACAAAGCAGTTTCTGAGAACACTTCTGTCTGCCTTTTATGTGAAGACATTCCCTTTTCCAAAGAATGCCTCCAAGGGCTCAAAATATCCACTTGTAGACTTTACAAAGAGAGTGTTTCAAAACTTCTCTACCAAAAGAAAGGTTAAAGACGGTGAGTTCAACGCACACATCACAAAGTTGTTTCTGAGAATGATTCTATCTATGTTTTCCATGAAGATGTTTCCTTTTCTATCATAGGCTTCAAAGTGGTCTAAATATCCACTTGGAAATCCTACAAGAACAGGGTTTCAAAACTTCTCTATCAAACGGAAGACTCCACTCTGTGAGATGAACGCACACATCACAATGAGGTTTCTGAAAATTCTTCTGTCTAGGGTTATAGGAAGAAATCCCGTTTCCAACGAAGGCCTCAAAGAGGTCCAAATATCCACTTGCAGTTTCTACAAAAAGAGTGTTTCAACACTGCTCTATAAAGAGAAAAGTTCCACTCTGTGAGTTGAATGTACACATCACAAAGTAGTTTCTGAGATTGCTTCTGTCTAGGTTTTAGGTGAAGTTATTTCCTTTTCTACTGTGGGCTTCAATGCGCTCTAAATATACACATGCAAATACTACAAAAAGAGTGTTTCAAAACTGCTCTATCAAAAGAAAAGTTTTACTCTGTGAGTTGAACGCACACATCGCAAAGCAGATTCTGAGAATTATTCTGTCTAGTTTTTATAGGAAGATGTTTCTTTTTCTGCCGTAGGCTCAATGCGCTATAAATATCCCCTTGGAAATCCTACAAAAACAGTGTTTCAAAACTGCTCTGTGAAAAGGGAGGTTTCACTCTTTGAATTGAATGCACACATCACAAAGGAGTTTCTGAAAATTCTTCAATCTAGAGTTACATGAAGAAATCCCGTTTCCAAAGAAGGCCTCAAATAGGTCCAAATATCCACTTGCAGCTACTACAAGAAGGGTGTTTCAGAAACGCTCTATCAAAAGAAACGTTAAACTCTGTGAGTTGAACACACACGTCACTAAGCACTTTCTGAGAACGATTGTATCTACTTTTTACATGAAGATGTTTCCTTTTCTAGCAGAGACTTCAAAGTGCTCTAAATATCCACTTGGGAATTCTACAAAAACGGTGTCTCAAAACTGCTCTATCAAACGGAATGTTCCATTCTGTGAGTCGAATGCACACATCCGAAGAAGTTACTGAGAATTCTTCTCTGTAGGTTTAGATGAAGAAATCCCGTTTCCAACGAAGGCCTCTAGGAGGTCCAATTATCCACTTGCAGATTCTACAGAAAGAGTGTTTCAAAACTGCTCTATCAAGAGAAATGGTCCACCGTGTGTGTGGAATGCAGCCATCACACATTAGTTTCTGAGATTGCTTCTGTCTTGGTTTTATGGGGAGATATTTCCATTTCTAGCATAGGCTTCAAGGCGCTCTAAATATCCGCTTGGAAATAGTACAAAAACAGTGTTTCAAAACTGCTGTATCCAAAGGAAGGTGCCACTCGCTGAGTTGAATGCACACATCACAAGGAAGTTTCTGAGAATTCTTCTGTCTAGATTCATACGAAGAAATCCCGTTTCCAACGAAGGCCTCAAAGAAGTCCAAATATCCCATTGCAAATTCTAAAAAAGCAGTGTTTCCCAACTGCTCTATCAAGAGGAATGTTGCACTCTGTGACTTGAATGCAAACATCACATAGCAGTGTTTGAGAATTCTTCTGTCTAGAGTAACATGAAGAAATCCCGTTTCCAACGAAGGCCTCAAGGCGGTCCAATTATCCACTTGCAGATTCTACAGAAAGAGTGTTTCAAAACTGCTCTATCAAGAGAAATGTTCCACCGTGTGTGTGGAATGCAGCCATCACACAGTAGTTTCTGAGATTGCTTCCGTCTAGGTTTTATGGGAAGATATTTCCTTTTCTACCATAGGCCTCAAGGCGCTCTAATATCCGCTTGGAAATACTACAACCACAGCGTTTCAAACTGCTCTATCCAAAGGAAGGTTCCACTCTGTGACTTGAATGCACACAACCAAAAAGTTTCGGAGAATTCTTCTGTCTAGATTTATACGAAGAAATCCCGTTTCCAACGAAGACCCAAAGGAGTTCCAAATATCCACTTGCAGATCCTTCAGAAAGAGGGTTTCAAAACTGCTCTATCAAGAGAAATGTTCAACTCTGTGAGTTGAATGCAGACATCACAAAGTCGTTTCTGAGATTGGTTCTGTCTAGGTTTTATGGGAAGATATTTCCTTTTCTACCATACGCTTCAAGGCGTTCCAAATATCCGCTTGGAAATACTACAAAAACAGTGTTTCAAAACTGCTCTATCAAAAGGAAGGATCCACACTGTGAGTTGAATTCACACATCACAAAGAAATCTCTGAGAATTCTTCTGTCTGGGTTTATAGGAAGAAATCCCGTTTCCAACGAAGGCCTCAAAGCGGTCCATATATCCACTTGCAGATTCTACAGAAACAATGTTTCCAAACTGCTCTATCAAGAGGAATGTTGCACTCGGTGAGTTGAATGCACACATCACAAAGTAGTTTCTGAGATTGCTTCTGTCTACCTTTTATGGAAAGATATTCCCTTTTCTACCATAGGCCTGAAAGCGCTCTCAATGTACCCTTGCAAATTCTACAAAAAGAGTGTTTCCAAATTGCTCTATCAAGAGAAATCTTTATCTCGGTGAGTTGAAAGCACACATCACAAAGAAGACTCTGAGAATTCTTCTGTCTGGGTTTATAAGATGAAAACCCGTTTCCAACGAAGGCCTCAAGGAGGTCCAAATACAAACAAGCTGATTCTACAGAAAGAGTGTTTCCAAACTGCTCTATCAAGAGGAATGTTCCACTCGGTGAGTTGAATGCAGACATCACAAAGGAGTTTCTGAGATTGCTTCTGTCTAGCTTTTATGGAAAGATATTTCCTTTTCTACCATAGGCCTCAAAGCGCTCTTAGTATACACTTCCAAATTCTACAAAGAGAGTGTTACTAAACCGCTCTCTCAAAGGAAATGTTAAACTCTGTGAGTTGAACACAGACATCACAAAGCAGTTTCTGAGAACACTTCTGTCTGCCTTTTATGTGAAGACATTCCCTTTTCCAAAGAATGCCTCCAAGGGCTCAAAATATCCACTTGTAGACTTTACAAAGAGAGTGTTTCAAAACTTCTCTACCAAAAGAAAGGTTAAAGACGGTGAGTTCAACGCACACATCACAAAGTTGTTTCTGAGAATGATTCTATCTATGTTTTCCATGAAGATGTTTCCTTTTCTATCATAGGCTTCAAAGTGGTCTAAATATCCACTTGGAAATCCTACAAGAACAGGGTTTCAAAACTTCTCTATCAAACGGAAGACTCCACTCTGTGAGATGAACGCACACATCACAATGAGGTTTCTGAAAATTCTTCTGTCTAGGGTTATAGGAAGAAATCCCGTTTCCAACGAAGGCCTCAAAGAGGTCCAAATATCCACTTGCAGTTTCTACAAAAAGAGTGTTTCAACACTGCTCTATAAAGAGAAAAGTTCCACTCTGTGAGTTGAATGTACACATCACAAAGTAGTTTCTGAGATTGCTTCTGTCTAGGTTTTAGGTGAAGTTATTTCCTTTTCTACTTTGGGCTTCAATGCGCTCTAAATATACACATGCAAATACTACAAAAAGAGTGTTTCAAAACTGCTCTATCAAAAGAAAAGTTTTACTCTGTGGGTTGAACGCACACATCGCAAAGCAGATTCTGAGAATTATTCTGTCTAGTTTTTATAGGAAGATGTTTCTTTTTCTGCCATAGGCTCAATGCGCTATAAATATCCCCTTGGAAATCCTACAAAAACAGTGTTTCAAAACTGCTCTGTGAAAAGGGAGGTTTCACTCTTTGAATTGAATGCACACATCACAAAGGAGTTTCTGAAAATTCTTCAATCTAGAGTTACATGAAGAAATCCCGTTTCCAAAGAAGGCCTCAAATAGGTCCAAATATCCACTTGCAGCTACTACAAGAAGGGTGTTTCAGAAACGCTCTATCAAAAGAAACGTTAAACTCTGTGAGTTGAACGCACACGTCACTAAGCACTTTCTGAGAACGATTCTATCTACTTTTTACATGAAGATGTTTCCTTTTCTAGCAGAGACTTCAAAGTGCTCTAAATATCCACTTGGGAATTCTACAAAAACGGTGTCTCAAAACTGCTCTATCAAAGGGAATGTTCCATTCTGTGAGTCGAATGCACACATCCGAAGAAGTTACTGAGAATTCTTCTCTGTAGGTTTAGATGAAGAAATCCTATTTCCAACGAAGGCCTCTAGGAGGTCCAATTATCCACTTGCAGATTCTACAGAAAGAGTGTTTCAAAACTGCTCTATCAAGAGAAATGGTCCACCGTGTGTGTGGAATGCAGCCATCACACATTAGTTTCTGAGATTGCTTCTGTCTTGGTTTTATGGGGAGATATTTCCATTTCTAGCGTAGGCTTCAAGGCGCTCTAAATATCCGCTTGGAAATACTACAAAAACAGTGTTTCAAAACTGCTGTATCCAAAGGAAGGTGCCACTCGCTGAGTTGAATGCACACATCACAAAGAAGTTTCTGAGAATTCTTCTGTCTAGATTCATACGAAGAAATCCCGTTTCCAACGAAGGCCTCAAAGAAGTCCAAATATCCCATTGCAAATTCTACAAAAGGAGTGTTTCCCAACTGCTCTATCAAGAGGAATGTTGCACTCTGTGACTTGCATGCAAACATCACATAGCAGTGTTTGAGAATTCTTCTGTCTAGAGTAACATGAAGAAATCCCGTTTCCAACGAAGGCCTCAAGGCGGTCCAATTATCCACTTGCAGATTCTACAGAAAGAGTGTTTCAAAACTGCTCTATCAAGAGAAATGTTCCACCGTGTGTGTGGAATGCAGCCATCACACAGTAGTTTCTGAGATTGCTTCCGTCTAGGTTTTATGGGAAGATATTTCCTTTTCTACCATAGGCCTCAAGGCGCTCTAATATCCGCTTGGAAATACTACAACCACAGCGTTTCAAACTGCTCTATCCAAAGGAAGGTTCCACTCTGTGACTTGAATGCACACAACCAAAGAAGTTTCGGAGAATTCTTCTGTCTAGATTTATACGAAGAAATCCCGTTTCCAACGAAGACCCAAAGGAGTTCCAAATATCCACTTGCAGATCCTTCAGAAAGAGGGTTTCAAAACTGCTCTATCAAGAGAAATGTTCAACTCTGTGAGTTGAATGCAGACATCACAAAGTCGTTTCTGAGATTGGTTCTGTCTAGGTTTTATGGGAAGATATTTCCTTTTCTACCATACGCTTCAAGGCGTTCCAAATATCCGCTTGGAAATACTACAAAAACAGTGTTTCGAAACTGCTCTATCAAAAGGAAGGATCCACACTGTGAGTTGAATTCACACATCACAAAGAAGTCTCTGAGAATTCTTCTGTCTGGGTTTATAGGAAGAAATCCCGTTTCCAACGAAGGCCTCAAAGCGGTCCATATATCCACTTGCAGATTCTACAGAAACAATGTTTCCAAACTGCTCTATCAAGAGGAATGTTGCACTCGGTGAGTTGAATGCACACATCACAAAGTAGTTTCTGAGATTGCTTCTGTCTACCTTTTATGGAAAGATATTCCCTTTTCTACCATAGGCCTGAAAGCGCTCTCAATGTACCCTTGCAAATTCTACAAAAAGAGTGTTTCCAAATTGCTCTATCAAGAGAAATCTTTATCTCGGTGAGTTGAAAGCACACATCACAAAGAAGACTCTGAGAATTCTTCTGTCTGGGTTTATAAGATGAAAACCCGTTTCCAACGAAGGCCTCAAGGAGGTCCAAATACAAACAAGCTGATTCTACAGAAAGAGTGTTTCCAAACTGCTCTATCAAGAGGAATGTTCCACTCGGTGAGTTGAATGCAGACATCACAAAGGAGTTTCTGAGATTGCTTCTGTCTAGCTTTTATGGAAAGATATTTCCTTTTCTACCATAGGCCTCAAAGCGCTCTTAGTATACACTTCCAAATTCTACAAAGAGAGTGTTACTAAACCGCTCTCTCAAAGGAAATGTTAAACTCTGTGAGTTGAACACAGACATCACAAAGCAGTTTCTGAGAACACTTCTGTCTGCCTTTTATGTGAAGACATTCCCTTTTCCAAAGAATGCCTCCAAGGGCTCAAAATATCCACTTGTAGACTTTACAAAGAGAGTGTTTCAAAACTTCTCTACCAAAAGAAAGGTTAAAGACGGTGAGTTCAACGCACACATCACAAAGTTGTTTCTGAGAATGATTCTATCTATGTTTTCCATGAAGATGTTTCCTTTTCTATCATAGGCTTCAAAGTGGTCTAAATATCCACTTGGAAATCCTACAAGAACAGCGTTTCAAAACTTCTCTATCAAACGGAAGACTCCACTCTGTGAGATGAACGCACACATCACAATGAGGTTTGCTGAAAATTCT
>NC_000006.12:59739514-59818963 GCF_000001405.40 Homo sapiens | reverse complement strand
GAAGCAATCTCAGAAACTACTTTGTGATGTGTACATTCAACTCACAGAGTGGAACTTTTCTCTTTATAGAGCAGTGTTGAAACACTCTTTTTGTAGAAACTGCAAGTGGATATTTGGACCTCTTTCCACCCAATGCCAGCCTACATTTTTGAATTTTTTGAGACAGGGTCTCAGCTCTGTGGCCCAGGCTGGAGTGTGGTGATGTGATCACAGCTCAATGCAGCCTCAACTTCTCACATATGGGGCGATCTTTCTGCTTCAGCCTCCCGAGCAGCTGAGACTACAGGTTCGCACCACCACACCTAACTTTAAAATTTTTTGTAGAGATGTCTGTCTAGGTTTTAGGTGAAGTTATTTCCTTTTCTACTGTGGGCTTCAATGCGCTCTAAATATACACATGCAAATACTACAAAAAGAGTGTTTCAAAACTGCTCTATCAAAAGAAAAGTTTTACTCTGTGAGTTGAACGCACACATGGCAAAGCAGATTCTGAGAATTATTCTGTCTAGTTTTTATAGGAAGGTGTTTCTTTTTGTGCCGTAGGCTCAATGCGCTATAAATATCCCCTTGGAAATCCTACAAAAACAGTGTTTCCAAACTGCTCTGTGAAAAGGGAGGTTTCACTCTTTGAATTGAATGCACACATCACAAAGGAGTTTCTGAGAATTCTTCAATCTAGTGTTACATGAAGAAATCCCGTTTCCAAAGAAGGCCTCAAATAGGTCCAAATATCCACTTGCAGCTACTACAAGAAGGGTGTTTCAGAAACGCTCTATCAAAAGAAACGTTAAACTCTGTGAGTTGAACACACACGTCACTAAGCACTTTCTGAGAACGATTCTATCTACTTTTTACATGAAGATGTTTCCTTTTCTAGCAGAGACTTCAAAGTGCTCTAAATATCCACTTGGGAATTCTACAAAAACGGTGTCTCAAAACTGCTCTATCAAAGGGAATGTTCCATTCTGTGAGTCGAATGCACACATCCGAAGAAGTTACTGAGAATTCTTCTCTGTAGGTTTAGATGAAGAAATCCCGTTTCCAACGAAGGCCTCTAGGAGGTCCAATTATCCACTTGCAGATTCTACAGAAAGAGTGTTTCAAAACTGCTCTATCAAGAGAAATGGTCCACCGTGTGTGTGGAATGCAGCCATCACACATTAGTTTCTGAGATTGCTTCTGTCTTGGTTTTATGGGGAGATATTTCCATTTCTAGCATAGGCTTCAAGGCGCTCTAAATATCCGCTTGGAAATAGTACAAAAACAGTGTTTCAAAACTGCTGTATCCAAAGGAAGGTGCCACTCGCTGAGTTGAATGCACACATCACAAGGAAGTTTCTGAGAATTCTTCTGTCTAGATTCATACGAAGAAATCCCGTTTCCAACGAAGGCCTCAAAGAAGTCCAAATATCCCATTGCAAATTCTACAAAAGGAGTGTTTCCCAACTGCTCTATCAAGAGGAATGTTGCACTCTGTGACTTGCATGCAAACATCATATAGCAGTGTTTGAGAATTCTTCTGTCTAGAGTAACATGAAGAAATCCCGTTTCCAACGAAGGCCTCAAGGCGGTCCAATTATCCACTTGCAGATTCTACAGAAAGAGTGTTTCAAAACTGCTCTATCAAGAGAAATGTTCCACCGTGTGTGTGGAATGCAGCCATCACACAGTAGTTTCTGAGATTGCTTCCGTCTAGGTTTTATGGGAAGATATTTCCTTTTCTACCATAGGCTTCAAGGCGCTCTAATATCCGCTTGGAAATACTACAACCACAGCGTTTCAAACTGCTCTATCCAAAGGAAGGTTCCACTCTGTGACTTGAATGCACACAACCAAAGAAGTTTCGGAGAATTCTTCTGTCTGGATTTATACGAAGAAATCCCGTTTCCAACGAAGACCCAAAGGAGTTCCAAATATCCACTTGCAGATCCTTCAGAAAGAGGGTTTCAAAACTGCTCTATCAAGAGAAATGTTCAACTCTGTGAGTTGAATGCAGACATCACAAAGTCGTTTCTGAGATGGGTTCTGTCTAGGTTTTATGGGAAGATATTTCCTTTTCTACCTTACGCTTCAAGGCGTTCCAAATATCCGCTTGGAAATACTACAAAAACAGTGTTTCAAAACTGCTCTATCAAAAGGAAGGATCCACACTGTGAGTTGAATTCACACATCACAAAGAAATCTCTGAGAATTCTTCTGTCTGGGTTTATAGGAAGAAATCCCGTTTCCAACGAAGGCCTCAAAGCGGTCCATATATCCACTTGCAGATTCTACAGAAACAATGTTTCCAAACTGCTCTATCAAGAGGAATGTTGCACTCGGTGAGTTGAATGCACACATCACAAAGTAGTTTCTGAGATTGCTTCTGTCTACCTTTTATGGAAAGATATTCCCTTTTCTACCATAGGCCTGAAAGCGCTCTCAATGTACCCTTGCAAATTCTACAAAAAGAGTGTTTCCAAATTGCTCTATCAAGAGAAATCTTTATCTCGGTGAGTTGAAAGCACACATCACAAAGAAGACTCTGAGAATTCTTCTGTCTGGGTTTATAAGATGAAAACCCGTTTCCAACGAAGGCCTCAAGGAGGTCCAAATACAAACAAGCTGATTCTACAGAAAGAGTGTTTCCAAACTGCTCTATCAAGAGGAATGTTCCACTCGGTGAGTTGAATGCAGACATCACAAAGGAGTTTCTGAGATTGCTTCTGTCTAGCTTTTATGGAAAGATATTTCCTTTTCTACCATAGGCCTCAAAGCACTCTTAGTATACACTTCCAAATTCTACAAAGAGAGTGTTACTAAACCGCTCTCTCAAAGGAAATGTTAAACTCTGTGAGTTGAACACAGACATCACAAAGCAGTTTCTGAGAACACTTCTGTCTGCCTTTTATGTGAAGACATTCCCTTTTCCAAAGAATGCCTCCAAGGGCTCAAAATATCCACTTGTAGACTTTACAAAGAGAGTGTTTCAAAACTTCTCTACCAAAAGAAAGGTTAAAGACGGTGAGTTCAACGCACACATCACAAAGTTGTTTCTGAGAATGATTCTATCTATGTTTTCCATGAAGATGTTTCCTTTTCTATCATAGGCTTCAAAGTGGTCTAAATATCCACTTGGAAATCCTACAAGAACAGGGTTTCAAAACTTCTCTATCAAACGGAAGACTCCACTCTGTGAGATGAACGCACACATCACAATGAGGTTTCTGAAAATTCTTCTGTCTAGGGTTATAGGAAGAAATCCCGTTTCCAACGAAGGCCTCAAAGAGGTCCAAATATCCACTTGCAGTTTCTACAAAAAGAGTGTTTCAACACTGCTCTATAAAGAGGAAAGTTCCACTCTGTGAGTTGAATGTACACATCACAAAGTAGTTTCTGAGATTGCTTCTGTCTAGGTTTTAGGTGAAGTTATTTCCTTTTCTACTGTGGGCTTCAATGCGCTCTAAATATACACATGCAAATACTACAAAAAGAGTGTTTCAAAACTGCTCTATCAAAAGAAAAGTTTTACTCTGTGAGTTGAACGCACACATCGCAAAGCAGATTCTGAGAATTATTCTGTCTAGTTTTTATAGGAAGATGTTTCTTTTTCTGCCATAGGATCAATGCGCTATAAATATCCCCTTGGAAATCCTACAAAAACAGTGTTTCAAAACTGCTCTGTGAAAAGGGAGGTTTCACTCTTTGAATTGAATGCACACATCACAAAGGAGTTTCTGAAAATTCTTCAAACTAGAGTTACATGAAGAAATCCCGTTTCCAAAGAAGGCCTCAAATAGGTCCAAATATCCACTTGCAGCTACTACAAGAAGGGTGTTTCAGAAACGCTCTATCAAAAGAAACGTTAAACTCTGTGAGTTGAACACACACGTCACTAAGCACTTTCTGAGAACGATTCTATCTACTTTTTACATGAAGATGTTTCCTTTTCTAGCAGAGACTTCAAAGTGCTCTAAATATCCACTTGGGAATTCTACAAAAACGGTGTCTCAAAACTGCTCTATCAAAGGGAATGTTCCATTCTGTGAGTCGAATGCACACATCCGAAGAAGTTACTGAGAATTCTTCTCTGTAGGTTTAGATGAAGAAATCCCGTTTCCAACGAAGGCCTCTAGGAGGTCCAATTATCCACTTGCAGATTCTACAGAAAGAGTGTTTCAAAACTGCTCTATCAAGAGAAATGGTCCACCGTGTGTGTGGAATGCAGCCATCACACATTAGTTTCTGAGATTGCTTCTGTCTTGGTTTTATGGGGAGATATTTCCATTTCTAGCATAGGCTTCAAGGCGCTCTAAATATCCGCTTGGAAATACTACAAAAACAGTGTTTCAAAACTGCTGTATCCAAAGGAAGGTGCCACTCGCTGAGTTGAATGCACACATCACAAGGAAGTTTCTGAGAATTCTTCTGTCTAGATTCATACGAAGAAATCCCGTTTCCAACGAAGGCCTCAAAGAAGTCCAAATATCCCATTGCAAATTCTACAAAAGGAGTGTTTCCCAACTGCTCTATCAAGAGGAATGTTGCACTCTGTGACTTGCATGCAAACATCACACAGCAGTGTTTGAGAATTCTTCTGTCTAGAGTAACATGAAGAAATCCCGTTTCCAACGAAGGCCTCAAGGCGGTCCAATTATCCACTTGCAGATTCTACAGAAAGAGTGTTTCAAAACTGCTCTATCAAGAGAAATGTTCCACCGTGTGTGTGGAATGCAGCCATCACACAGTAGTTTCTGAGATTGCTTCCGTCTAGGTTTTATGGGAAGATATTTCCTTTTCTACCATAGGCTTCAAGGCGCTCTAATATCCGCTTGGAAATACTACAACCACAGCGTTTCAAACTGCTCTATCCAAAGGAAGGTTCCAATCTGTGACTTGAATGCACACAACCAAAGAAGTTTCGGAGAATTGTTCTGTCTGGATTTATACGAAGAAATCCCGTTTCCAACGAAGACCCAAAGGAGTTCCAAATATCCACTTGCAGATCCTTCAGAAAGAGGGTTTCAAAACTGCTCTATCAAGAGAAATGTTCAACTCTGTGAGTTGAATGCAGACATCACAAAGTCGTTTCTGAGATGGGTTCTGTCTAGGTTTTATGGGAAGATATTTCCTTTTCTACCATACGATTCAAGGCGTTCCAAATATCCGCTTGGAAATACTACAAAAACAGTGTTTCAAAACTGCTCTATCAAAAGGAAGGATCCACACTGTGAGTTGAATTCACACATCACAAAGAAATCTCTGAGAATTCTTCTGTCTGGGTTTATAGGAAGAAATCCCGTTTCCAACGAAGGCCTCAAAGCGGTCCATATATCCACTTGCAGATTCTACAGAAACAATGTTTCCAAACTGCTCTATCAAGAGGAATGTTGCACTCGGTGAGTTGAATGCACACATCACAAAGTAGTTTCTGAGATTGCTTCTGTCTACCTTTTATGGAAAGATATTCCCTTTTCTACCATAGGCCTGAAAGCGCTCTCAATGTACCCTTGCAAATTCTACAAAAAGAGTGTTTCCAAATTGCTCTATCAAGAGAAATCTTTATCTCGGTGAGTTGAAAGCACACATCACAAAGAAGACTCTGAGAATTCTTCTGTCTGGGTTTATAAGATGAAAACCCGTTTCCAACGAAGGCCTCAAGGAGGTCCAAATACAAACAAGCTGATTCTACAGAAAGAGTGTTTCCAAACTGCTCTATCAAGAGGAATGTTCCACTCGGTGAGTTGAATGCAGACATCACAAAGGAGTTTCTGAGATTGCTTCTGTCTAGCTTTTATGGAAAGATATTTCCTTTTCTACCATAGGCCTCAAAGCGCTCTTGGTATACACTTCCAAATTCTACAAAGAGAGTGTTACTAAACCGCTCTCTCAAAGGAAATGTTAAACTCTGTGAGTTGAACACAGACATCACAAAGCAGTTTCTGAGAACACTTCTGTCTGCCTTTTATGTGAAGACATTCCCTTTTCCAAAGAAGGCCTCCAAGGGCCCAAAATATCCACTTGTAGACTTTACAAAGAGAGTGTTTCAAAACTTCTCTACCAAAAGAAAGGTTAAAGACTGTGAGTTCAACGCACACATCACAAAGTTGTTTCTGAGAATGATTCTATCTATGTTTTCCATGAAGATGTTTCCTTTTCTATCATAGGCTTCAAAGTGGTCTAAATATCCACTTGGAAATCCTACAAGAACAGGGTTTCAAAACTTCTCTATCAAACGGAAGACTCCACTCTGTGAGATGAACGCACACATCACAATGAGGTTTCTGAAAATTCTTCTGTCTAGGGTTATAGGAAGAAATCCCGTTTCCAACGAAGGCCTCAAAGAGGTCCAAATATCCACTTGCAGTTTCTACAAAAAGAGTGTTTCAACACTGCTCTATAAAGAGAAAAGTTCCACTCTGTGAGTTGAATGTACACATCACAAAGTAGTTTCTGAGATTGCTTCTGTCTAGGTTTTAGGTGAAGTTATTTCCTTTTCTACTGTGGGCTTCAATGCGCTCTAAATATACACATGCAAATACTACAAAAAGAGTGTTTCAAAACTGCTCTATCAAAAGAAAAGTTTTACTCTGTGAGTTGAACGCACACATCGCAAAGCAGATTCTGAGAATTATTCTGTCTAGTTTTTATAGGAAGATGTTTCTTTTTCTGCCATAGGCTCAATGCGCTATAAATATCCCCTTGGAAATCCTACAAAAACAGTGTTTCAAAACTGCTCTGTGAAAAGGGAGGTTTCACTCTTTGAATTGAATGCACACATCACAAAGGAGTTTCTGAAAATTCTTCAATCTAGAGTTACATGAAGAAATCCCGTTTCCAAAGAAGGCCTCAAATAGGTCCAAATATCCACTTGCAGCTACTACAAGAAGGGTGTTTCAGAAACGCTCTATCAAAAGAAACGTTAAACTCTGTGAGTTGAACGCACACGTCACTAAGCACTTTCTGAGAACGATTCTATCTACTTTTTACATGAAGATGTTTCCTTTTCTAGCAGAGACTTCAAAGTGCTCTAAATATCCACTTGGGAATTCTACAAAAACGGTGTCTCAAAACTGCTCTACCAAAGGGAATGTTCCATTCTGTGAGTCGAATGCACACATCCGAAGAAGTTACTGAGAATTCTTCTCTGTAGGTTTAGATGAAGAAATCCCGTTTCCAACGAAGGCCTCTAGGAGGTCCAATTATCCACTTGCAGATTCTACAGAAAGAGTGTTTCAAAACTGCTCTATCAAGAGAAATGGTCCACCGTGTGTGTGGAATGCAGCCATCACACATTAGTTTCTGAGATTGCTTCTGTCTTGGTTTTATGGGGAGATATTTCCATTTCTAGCATAGGCTTCAAGGCGCTCTAAATATCCGCTTGGAAATACTACAAAAACAGTGTTTCAAAACTGCTGTATCCAAAGGAAGGTGCCACTCGCTGAGTTGAATGCACACATCACAAGGAAGTTTCTGAGAATTCTTCTGTCTAGATTCATACGAAGAAATCCCGTTTCCAACGAAGGCCTCAAAGAAGTCCAAATATCCCATTGCAAATTCTACAAAAGGAGTGTTTCCCAACTGCTCTATCAAGAGGAATGTTGCACTCTGTGACTTGAATGCAAACATCACATAGCAGTGTTTGAGAATTCTTCTGTCTAGAGTAACATGAAGAAATCCCGTTTCCAACGAAGGCCTCAAGGCGGTCCAATTATCCACTTGCAGATTCTACAGAAAGAGTGTTTCAAAACTGCTCTATCAAGAGAAATGTTCCACCGTGTGTGTGGAATGCAGCCATCACACAGTAGTTTCTGAGATTGCTTCCGTCTAGGTTTTATGGGAAGATATTTCCTTTTCTACCATAGGCTTCAAGGCGCTCTAATATCCGCTTGGAAATACTACAACCACAGCGTTTCAAACTGCTCTATCCAAAGGAAGGTTCCACTCTGTGACTTGAATGCACACAACCAAAGAAGTTTCGGAGAATTCTTCTGTCTAGATTTATACGAAGAAATCCCGTTTCCAACGAAGACCCAAAGGAGTTCCAAATATCCACTTGCAGATCCTTCAGAAAGAGGGTTTCAAAACTGCTCTATCAAGAGAAATGTTCAACTCTGTGAGTTGAATGCAGACATCACAAAGTCGTTTCTGAGATTGGTTCTGTCTAGGTTTTATGGGAAGATATTTCCTTTTCTACCATGCGCTTCAAGGCGTTCCAAATATCCGCTTGGAAATACTACAAAAACAGTGTTTCAAAACTGCTCTATCAAAAGGAAGGATCCACACTGTGAGTTGAATTCACACATCACAAAGAAGTCTCTGAGAATTCTTCTGTCTGGGTTTATAGGAAGAAATCCCGTTTCCAACGAAGGCCTCAAAGAGGTCCAAATATCCACTTGCAGATTCTACAGAAACAATGTTTCCAAACTGCTCTATCAAGAGGAACGTTGCACTCGGTGAGTTGAATGCACACATCACAAAGTAGTTTCTGAGATTGCTTCTGTCTACCTTTTATGGAAAGATATTCCCTTTTCTACCACAGGCCTGAAAGCGCTCTCAATGTACCCTTGCAAATTCTACAAAAAGAGTGTTTCCAAATTGCTCTATCAACAAAAATCTTTATCTCGGTGAGTTGGAAGCACACATCACAAAGAAGACTCTGAGAATTCTTCTGTCTGGGTTTATAAGAGGAAAACCCGTTTCCAACGAAGGCCTCAAGGAGGTCCAAATACAAACAAGCTGATTCTACAGAAAGAGTGTTTCCAAACTGCTCTATCAAGAGGAATGTTCCACTCGGTGAGTTGAATGCAGACATCACAAAGGAGTTTCTGGGATTGCTTCTGTCTAGCTTTTATGGAAAGATATTTCCTTTTCTACCATAGGCCTCAAAGCGCTCTTAGTATACACTTCCAAATTCTACAAAGAGAGTGTTACTAAACCGCTCTCTCAAAGGAAATGTTAAACTCTGTGAGTTGAACACAGACATCACAAAGCAGTTTCTGAGAACACTTCTGTCTGCCTTTTATGTGAAGACATTCCCTTTTCCAAAGAATGCCTCCAAGGGCTCAAAATATCCACTTGTAGACTTTACAAAGAGAGTGTTTCAAAACTTCTCTACCAAAAGAAAGGTTAAAGACGGTGAGTTCAACGCACACATCACAAAGTTGTTTCTGAGAATGATTCTATCTATGTTTTCCATGAAGATGTTTCCTTTTCTATCATAGGCTTCAAAGTGGTCTAAATATCCACTTGGAAATCCTACAAGAACAGGGTTTCAAAACTTCTCTATCAAACGGAAGACTCCACTCTGTGAGATGAACGCACACATCACAATGAGGTTTCTGAAAATTCTTCTGTCTAGGGTTATAGGAAGAAATCCCGTTTCCAACGAGGGCCTCAAAGAGGTCCACATATCCACTTGCAGTTTCTACAAAAAGAGTGTTTCAACACTGCTCTATAAAGAGGAAAGTTCCACTCTGTGAGTTGAATGTACACATCACAAAGTAGTTTCTGAGATTGCTTCTGTCTAGGTTTTAGGTGAAGTTATTTCCTTTTCTACTGTGGGCTTCAATGCGCTCTAAATATACACATGCAAATACTACAAAAAGAGTGTTTCAAAACTGCTCTATCAAAAGAAAAGTTTTACTCTGTGAGTTGAACGCACACATCGCAAAGCAGATTCTGAGAATTATTCTGTCTAGTTTTTATAGGAAGATGTTTCTTTTTCTGCCATAGGATCAATGCGCTATAAATATCCCCTTGGAAATCCTACAAAAACAGTGTTTCAAAACTGCTCTGTGAAAAGGGAGGTTTCACTCTTTGAATTGAATGCACACATCACAAAGGAGTTTCTGAAAATTCTTCAATCTAGAGTTACATGAAGAAATCCCGTTTCCAAAGAAGGCCTCAAATAGGTCCAAATATCCACTTGCAGCTACTACAAGAAGGGTGTTTCAGAAACGCTCTATCAAAAGAAACGATAAACTCTGTGAGTTGAACACACACGTCACTAAGCACTTTCTGAGAACGATTCTATCTACTTTTTACATGAAGATGTTTCCTTTTCTAGCAGAGACTTCAAAGTGCTCTAAATATCCACTTGGGAATTCTACAAAAACGGTGTCTCAAAACTGCTCTATCAAAGGGAATGTTCCATTCTGTGAGTCGAATGCACACATCCGAAGAAGTTACTGAGAATTCTTCTCTGTAGGTTTAGATGAAGAAATCCCGTTTCCAACGAAGGCCTCTAGGAGGTCCAATTATCCACTTGCAGATTCTACAGAAAGAGTGTTTCAAAACTGCTCTATCAAGAGAAATGGTCCACCGTGTGTGTGGAATGCAGCCATCACACATTAGTTTCTGAGATTGCTTCTGTCTTGGTTTTATGGGGAGATATTTCCATTTCTAGCATAGGCTTCAAGGCGCTCTAAATATCCGCTTGGAAATACTACAAAAACAGTGTTTCAAAACTGCTGTATCCAAAGGAAGGTGCCACTCGCTGAGTTGAATGCACACATCACAAGGAAGTTTCTGAGAATTCTTCTGTCTAGATTCATACGAAGAAATCCCGTTTCCAACGAAGGCCTCAAAGAAGTCCAAATATCCCATTGCAAATTCTACAAAAGGAGTGTTTCCCAACTGCTCTATCAAGAGGAATGTTGCACTCTGTGACTTGAATGCAAACATCACATAGCAGTGTTTGAGAATTCTTCTGTCTAGAGTAACATGAAGAAATCCCGTTTCCAACGAAGGCCTCAAAGCGGTCCAATTATCCACTTGCAGATTCTACAGAAAGAGTGTTTCAAAACTGCTCTATCAAGAGAAATGTTCAACTCTGTGAGTTGAATGCAGACATCACAAAGTCGTTTCTGAGATGGGTTCCGTCTAGGTTTTATGGGAAGATATTTCCTTTTCTACCATAGGCTTCAAGGCGCTCTAATATCCGCTTGGAAATACTACAACCACAGCGTTTCAAACTGCTCTATCCAAAGGAAGGTTCCACTCTGTGACTTGAATGCACACAACCAAAGAAGTTTCGGAGAATTCTTCTGTCTAGATTTATACGAAGAAATCCCGTTTCCAACGAAGACCCAAAGGAGTTCCAAATATCCACTTGCAGATCCTTCAGAAAGAGGGTTTCAAAACTGCTCTATCAAGAGAAATGTTCAACTCTGTGAGTTGAATGCAGACATCACAAAGTCGTTTCTGAGATTGGTTCTGTCTAGGTTTTATGGGAAGATATTTCCTTTTCTACCATACGCTTCAAGGCGTTCCAAATATCCGCTTGGAAATACTACAAAAACAGTGTTTCAAAACTGCTCTATCAAAAGGAAGGATCCACACTGTGAGTTGAATTCACACATCACAAAGAAATCTCTGAGAATTCTTCTGTCTGGGTTTATAGGAAGAAATCCCGTTTCCAACGAAGGCCTCAAAGAAGGTCCATATATCCACTTGCAGATTCTACAGAAACAATGTTTCCAAACTGCTCGGTCAAGAGGAATGTTGCACTCGGTGAGTTGAATGCACACATCACAAAGTAGTTTCTGAGATTGCTTCTGTCTACCTTTTATGGAAAGATATTCCCTTTTCTACCATAGGCCTGAAAGCGCTCTCAATGTACCCTTGCAAATTCTACAAAAAGAGTGTTTCCAAATTGCTCTATCAAGAGAAATCTTTATCTCGGTGAGTTGAAAGCACACATCACAAAGAAGACTCTGAGAATTCTTCTGTCTGGGTTTATAAGATGAAAACCCGTTTCCAACGAAGGCCTCAAGGAGGTCCAAATACAAACAAGCTGATTCTACAGAAAGAGTGTTTCCAAACTGCTCTATCAAGAGGAATGTTCCACTCGGTGAGTTGAATGCAGACATCACAAAGGAGTTTCTGAGATTGCTTCTGTCTAGCTTTTATGGAAAGATATTTCCTTTTCTACCATAGGCCTCAAAGCGCTCTTAGTATACACTTCCAAATTCTACAAAGAGAGTGTTACTAAACCGCTCTCTCAAAGGAAATGTTAAACTCTGTGAGTTGAACACAGACATCACAAAGCAGTTTCTGAGAACACTTCTGTCTGCCTTTTATGTGAAGACATTCCCTTTTCCAAAGAATGCCTCCAAGGGCTCAAAATATCCACTTGTAGACTTTACAAAGAGAGTGTTTCAAAACTTCTCTACCAAAAGAAAGGTTAAAGACGGTGAGTTCAACGCACACATCACAAAGTTGTTTCTGAGAATGATTCTATCTATGTTTTCCATGAAGATGTTTCCTTTTCTATCATAGGCTTCAAAGTGGTCTAAATATCCACTTGGAAATCCTACAAGAACAGGGTTTCAAAACTTCTCTATCAAACGGAAGACTCCACTCTGTGAGATGAACGCACACATCACAATGAGGTTTCTGAAAATTCTTCTGTCTAGGGTTATAGGAAGAAATCCCGTTTCCAACGAAGGCCTCAAAGAGGTCCAAATATCCACTTGCAGTTTCTACAAAAAGAGTGTTTCAACACTGCTCTATAAAGAGAAAAGTTCCACTCTGTGAGTTGAATGTACACATCACAAAGTAGTTTCTGAGATTGCTTCTGTCTAGGTTTTAGGTGAAGTTATTTCCTTTTCTACTGTGGGCTTCAATGCGCTCTAAATATACACATGCAAATACTACAAAAAGAGTGTTTCAAAACTGCTCTATCAAAAGAAAAGTTTTACTCTGTGAGTTGAACGCACACATCGCAAAGCAGATTCTGAGAATTATTCTGTCTAGTTTTTATAGGAAGATGTTTCTTTTTCTGCCGTAGGCTCAATGCGCTATAAATATCCCCTTGGAAATCCTACAAAAACAGTGTTTCAAAACTGCTCTGTGAAAAGGGAGGTTTCACTCTTTGAATTGAATGCACACATCACAAAGGAGTTTCTGAAAATTCTTCAATCTAGAGTTACATGAAGAAATCCCGTTTCCAAAGAAGGCCTCAAATAGGTCCAAATATCCACTTGCAGCTACTACAAGAAGGGTGTTTCAGAAACGCTCTATCAAAAGAAACGTTAAACTCTGTGAGTTGAACACACACGTCACTAAGCACTTTCTGAGAACGATTCTATCTACTTTTTACATGAAGATGTTTCCTTTTCTAGCAGAGACTTCAAAGTGCTCTAAATATCCACTTGGGAATTCTACAAAAACGGTGTCTCAAAACTGCTCTATCAAAGGGAATGTTCCATTCTGTGAGTCGAATGCACACATCCGAAGAAGTTACTGAGAATTCTTCTCTGTAAGTTTAGATGAAGAAATCCCGTTTCCAACCAAAGCCTCTAGGAGGTCCAATTATCCACTTCCAGATTCTACAGAAAGAGTGTTTCAAAACTGCTCTATCAAGAGAAATGGTCCACCGTGTGTGTGGAATGCAGCCATCACACATTAGTTTCTGAGATTGCTTCTGTCTTGGTTTTATGGGGAGATATTTCCATTTCTAGCATAGGCTTCAAGGCGCTCTAAATATCCGCTTGGAAATACTACAAAAACAGTGTTTCAAAACTGCTGTATCCAAAGGAAGGTGCCACTCGCTGAGTTGAATGCACACATCACAAGGAAGTTTCTGAGAATTCTTCTGTCTAGATTCATACGAAGAAATCCCGTTTCCAACGAAGGCCTCAAAGAAGTCCAAATATCCCATTGCAAATTCTACAAAAGGAGTGTTTCCCAACTGCTCTATCAAGAGGAATGTTGCACTCTGTGACTTGAATGCAAACATCACATAGCAGTGTTTGAGAATTCTTCTGTCTAGAGTAACATGAAGAAATCCCGTTTCCAACGAAGGCCTCAAGGCGGTCCAATTATCCACTTGCAGATTCTACAGAAAGAGTGTTTCAAAACTGCTCTATCAAGAGAAATGTTCCACCGTGTGTGTGGAATGCAGCCATCACACAGTAGTTTCTGAGATTGCTTCCGTCTAGGTTTTATGGGAAGATATTTCCTTTTCTACCATAGGCCTCAAGGCGCTCTAATATCCGCTTGGAAATACTACAACCACAGCGTTTCAAACTGCTCTATCCAAAGGAAGGTTCCACTCTGTGACTTGAATGCACACAACCAAAGAAGTTTCGGAGAATTCTTCTGTCTGGATTTATACGAAGAAATCCCGTTTCCAACGAAGACCCAAAGGAGTTCCAAATATCCACTTGCAGATCCTTCAGAAAGAGGGTTTCAAAACTGCTCTATCAAGAGAAATGTTCAACTCTGTGAGTTGAATGCAGACATCACAAAGTCGTTTCTGAGATGGGTTCTGTCTAGGTTTTATGGGAAGATATTTCCTTTTCTACCATACGCTTCAAGGCGTTCCAAATATCCGCTTGGAAATACTACAAAAACGGTGTTTCAAAACTGCTCTATCAAAAGGAAGGATCCACACTGTGAGTTGAATTCACACATCACAAAGAAATCTCTGAGAATTCTTCTGTCTGGGTTTATAGGAAGAAATCCCGTTTCCAACGAAGGCCTCAAAGAGGTCCAAATATCCACTTGCAGATTCTACAGAAACAATGTTTCCAAACTGCTCTATCAAGAGGAATGTTGCAATCGGTGAGTTGAATGCACACATCACAAAGTAGTTTCTGAGATTGCTTCTGTCTACCTTTTATGGAAAGATATTCCCTTTTCTACCATAGGCCTGAAAGCGCTCTCAATGTACCCTTGCAAATTCTACAAAAAGAGTGTTTCCAAATTGCTCTATCAAGAGAAATCTTTATCTCGGTGAGTTGAAAGCACACATCACAAAGAAGACTCTGAGAATTCTTCTGTCTGGGTTTATAAGATGAAAACCCGTTTCCAACGAAGGCCTCAAGGAGGTCCAAATACAAACAAGCTGATTCTACAGAAAGAGTGTTTCCAAACTGCTCTATCAAGAGGAATGTTCCACTCGGTGAGTTGAATGCAGACATCACAAAGGAGTTTCTGAGATTGCTTCTGTCTAGCTTTTATGGAAAGATATTTCCTTTTCTACCATAGGCCTCAAAGCGCTCTTAGTATACACTTCCAAATTCTACAAAGAGAGTGTTACTAAACCGCTCTCTCAAAGGAAATGTTACACTCTTGTGAGTTGAACACAGACATCACAAAGCAGTTTCTGAGAACACTTCTGTCTGCCTTTTATGTGAAGACATTCCCTTTTCCAAAGAATGCCTCCAAGGGCTCAAAATATCCACTTGTAGACTTTACAAAGAGAGTGTTTCAAAACTTCTCTACCAAAAGAAAGGTTAAAGACGGTGAGTTCAACGCACACATCACAAAGTTGTTTCTGAGAATGATTCTATCTATGTTTTCCATGAAGATGTTTCCTTTTCTATCATAGGCTTCAAAGTGGTCTAAATATCCACTTGGAAATCCTACAAGAACAGGGTTTCAAAACTTCTCTATCAAACGGAAGACTCCACTCTGTGAGATGAACGCACACATCACAATGAGGTTTCTGAAAATTACTTCTGTCTAGGGTTATAGGAAGAAATCCCGTTTCCAACGAAGGCCTCAAAGAGGTCCACATATCCACTTGCAGTTTCTACAAAAAGAGTGTTTCAACACTGCTCTATAAAGAGGAAAGTTCCACTCTGTGAGTTGAATGTACACATCACAAAGTAGTTTCTGAGATTGCTTCTGTCTAGGTTTTAGGTGAAGTTATTTCCTTTTCTACTGTGGGCTTCAATGCGCTCTAAATATACACATGCAAATACTACAAAAAGAGTGTTTCAAAACTGCTCTATCAAAAGAAAAGTTTTACTCTGTGAGTTGAACGCACACATCGCAAAGCAGATTCTGAGAATTATTCTGTCTAGTTTTTATAGGAAGATGTTTCTTTTTCTGCCATAGGCTCAATGCGCTATAAATATCCCCTTGGAAATCCTACAAAAACAGTGTTTCAAAACTGCTCTGTGAAAAGGGAGGTTTCACTCTTTGAATTGAATGCACACATCACAAAGGAGTTTCTGAAAATTCTTCAATCTAGAGTTACATGAAGAAATCCCGTTTCCAAAGAAGGCCTCAAATAGGTCCAAATATCCACTTGCAGCTACTACAAGAAGGGTGTTTCAGAAACGCTCTATCAAAAGAAACGTTAAACTCTGTGAGTTGAACGCACACGTCACTAAGCACTTTCTGAGAACGATTCTATCTACTTTTTACATGAAGATGTTTCCTTTTCTAGCAGAGACTTCAAAGTGCTCTAAATATCCACTTGGGAATTCTACAAAAACGGTGTCTCAAAACTGCTCTACCAAAGGGAATGTTCCATTCTGTGAGTCGAATGCACACATCCGAAGAAGTTACTGAGAATTCTTCTCTGTAGGTTTAGATGAAGAAATCCCGTTTCCAACGAAGGCCTCTAGGAGGTCCAATTATCCACTTGCAGATTCTACAGAAAGAGTGTTTCAAAACTGCTCTATCAAGAGAAATGGTCCACCGTGTGTGTGGAATGCAGCCATCACACATTAGTTTCTGAGATTGCTTCTGTCTTGGTTTTATGGGGAGATATTTCCATTTCTAGCATAGGCTTCAAGGTGCTCTAAATATCCGCTTGGAAATACTACAAAAACAGTGTTTCAAAACTGCTGTATCCAAAGGAAGGTGCCACTCGCTGAGTTGAATGCACACATCACAAGGAAGTTTCTGAGAATTCTTCTGTCTAGATTCATACGAAGAAATCCCGTTTCCAACGAAGGCCTCAAAGAAGTCCAAATATCCCATTGCAAATTCTACAAAAGGAGTGTTTCCCAACTGCTCTATCAAGAGGAATGTTGCACTCTGTGACTTGCATGCAAACATCACACAGCAGTGTTTGAGAATTCTTCTGTCTAGAGTAACATGAAGAAATCCCGTTTCCAACGAAGGCCTCAAGGCGGTCCAATTATCCACTTGCAGATTCTACAGAAAGAGTGTTTCAAAACTGCTCTATCAAGAGAAATGTTCCACCGTGTGTGTGGAATGCAGCCATCACACAGTAGTTTCTGAGATGGCTTCCGTCTAGGTTTTATGGGAAGATATTTCCTTTTCTACCATAGGCTTCAAGGCGCTCTAATATCCGCTTGGAAATACTACAACCACAGCGTTTCAAACTGCTCTATCCAAAGGAAGGTTCCACTCTGTGACTTGAATGCACACAACCAAAGAAGTTTCGGAGAATTCTTCTGTCTGGATTTATACGAAGAAATCCCGTTTCCAACGAAGACCCAAAGGAGTTCCAAATATCCACTTGCAGATCCTTCAGAAAGAGGGTTTCAAAACTGCTCTATCAAGAGAAATGTTCAACTCTGTGAGTTGAATGCAGACATCACAAAGTCGTTTCTGAGATGGGTTCTGTCTAGGTTTTATGGGAAGATATTTCCTTTTCTACCATACGCTTCAAGGCGTTCCAAATATCCGCTTGGAAATACTACAAAAACAGTGTTTCAAAACTGCTCTATCAAAAGGAAGGATCCACACTGTGAGTTGAATTCACACATCACAAAGAAGTCTACTGAGAATTCTTTCTGTCTGGGTTTATAGGAAGAAATCCCGTTTCCAACGAAGGCCTCAAAGCGGTCCATATATCCACTTGCAGATTCTACAGAAACAATGTTTCCAAACTGCTCTATCAAGAGGAATGTTGCACTCGGTGAGTTGAATGCACACATCACAAAGTAGTTTCTGAGATTGCTTCTGTCTACCTTTTCTACCATAGGCCTGAAAGCGCTCTCAATGTACCCTTGCAAATTCTACAAAAAGAGTGTTTCCAAATTGCTCTATCAAGAGAAATCTTTATCTCGGTGAGTTGAAAGCACACATCACAAAGAAGACTCTGAGAATTCTTCTGTCTGGGTTTATAAGATGAAAACCCGTTTCCAACCGAAGGCCTCAAGGAGGTCCAAATACAAACAAGCTGATTCTACAGAAAGAGTGTTTCCAAACTGCTCTATCAAGAGGAATGTTCCACTCGGTGAGTTGAATGCAGACATCACAAAGGAGTTTCTGAGATTGCTTCTGTCTAGCTTTTATGGAAAGATATTTCCTTTTCTACCATAGGCCTCAAAGCGCTCTTAGTATACACTTCCAAATTCTACAAAGAGAGTGTTACTAAACCGCTCTCTCAAAGGAAATGTTAAACTCTGTGAGTTGAACACAGACATCACAAAGCAGTTTCTGAGAACACTTCTGTCTGCCTTTTATGTGAAGACATTCCCTTTTCCAAAGAATGCCTCCAAGGGCTCAAAATATCCACTTGTAGACTTTACAAAGAGAGTGTTTCAAAACTTCTCTACCAAAAGAGAGGTTAAAGACGGTGAGTTCAACGCACACATCACAAAGTTGTTTCTGAGAATGATTCTATCTATGTTTTCCATGAAGATGTTTCCTTTTCTATCATAGGCTTCAAAGTGGTCTAAATATCCACTTGGAAATCCTACAAGAACAGGGTTTCAAAACTTCTCTATCAAACGGAACACTCCACTCTGTGAGATGAACGCACACATCACAATGAGGTTTCTGAAAATTCTTCTGTCTAGGGTTATAGGAAGAAATCCCGTTTCCAACGAAGGCCTCAAAGAGGTCCAAATATCCACTTGCAGTTTCTACAAAAAGAGTGTTTCAACACTGCTCTATAAAGAGGAAAGTTCCACTCTGTGAGTTGAATGTACACATCACAAAGTAGTTTCTGAGATTGCTTCTGTCTAGGTTTTAGGTGAAGTTATTTCCTTTTCTACTGTGGGCTTCAATGCGCTCTAAATATACACATGCAAATACTACAAAAAGAGTGTTTCAAAACTGCTCTATCAAAAGAAAAGTTTTACTCTGTGAGTTGAACGCACACATCGCAAAGCAGATTCTGAGAATTATTCTGTCTAGTTTTTATAGGAAGATGTTTCTTTTTCTGCCGTAGGCTCAATGCGCTATAAATATCCCCTTGGAAATCCTACAAAAACAGTGTTTCAAAACTGCTCTGTGAAAAGGGAGGTTTCACTCTTTGAATTGAATGCACACATCACAAAGGAGTTTCTGAAAATTCTTCAAACTAGAGTTACATGAAGAAATCCCGTTTCCAAGGAAGGCCTCAAATAGGTCCAAATATCCACTTGCAGCTACTACAAGCAGGGTGTTTCAGAAACGCTCTATCAAAAGAAACGTTAAACTCTGTGAGTTGAACACACACGTCACTAAGCACTTTCTGAGAACGATTCTATCTACTTTTTACATGAAGATGTTTCCTTTTCTAGCAGAGACTTCAAAGTGCTCTAAATATCCACTTGGGAATTCTACGAAAACGGTGTCTCAAAACTGCTCTATCAAACGGAATGTTCCATTCTGTGAGTCGAATGCACACATCCGAAGAAGTTACTGAGAATTCTTCTCTGTAGGTTTAGATGAAGAAATCCCGTTTCCAACGAAGGCCTCTAGGAGGTCCAATTATCCACTTGCAGATTCTACAGAAAGAGTGTTTCAAAACTGCTCTATCAAGAGAAATGGTCCACCGTGTGTGTGGAATGCAGCCATCACACATTAGTTTCTGAGATTGCTTCTGTCTTGGTTTTATGGGGAGATATTTCCATTTCTAGCATAGGCTTCAAGGCGCTCTAAATATCCGCTTGGAAATACTACAAAAACAGTGTTTCAAAACTGCTGTATCCAAAGGAAGGTGCCACTCGCTGAGTTGAATGCACACATCACAAGGAAGTTTCTGAGAATTCTTCTGTCTAGATTCATACGAAGAAACCCCGTTTCCAACGAAGGCCTCAAAGAAGTCCAAATATCCCATTGCACATTCTACAAAAGGAGTGTTTCCCAACTGCTCTATGAAGAGGAATGTTGCACTCTGTGACTTGAATGCAAACATCACATAGTAGTGTTTGAGAATTCTTCTATCTAGAGTAACTTGAAGAAATCCCGTTTCCAACGAAGGCCTCAAGGCGGTCCAATTATCCACTTGCAGATTCTACAGAAAGAGTGTTTCAAAACTGCTCTATCAAGAGAAATGTTCCACCGTGTGTGTGGAATGCAGCCGTCACACAGTAGTTTCTGAGATTGCTTCCGTCTAGGTTTTATGGGAAGATATTTCCTTTTCTACCATAGGCTTCAAGGCGCTCTAATATCCGCTTGGAAATACTACAACCACAGCGTTTCAAACTGCTCTATCCAAAGGAAGGTTCCACTCTGTGACTTGAATGCACACAACCAAAGAAGTTTCGGAGAATTCTTCTGTCTGGATTTATACGAAGAAATCCCGTTTCCAACGAAGACCCAAAGGAGTTCCAAATATCCACTTGCAGATCCTTCAGAAAGAGGGTTTCAAAACTGCTCTATCAAGAGAAATGTTCAACTCTGTGAGTTGAATGCAGACATCACAAAGTCGTTTCTGAGATGGGTTCTGTCTAGGTTTTATGGGAAGATATTTCCTTTTCTACCATACGCTTCAAGGCGTTCCAAATATCCGCTTGGAAATACTACAAAAACAGTGTTTCAAAACTGCTCTATCAAAAGGAAGGATCCACACTGTGAGTTGAATTCACACATCACAAAGAAGTCTCTGAGAATTCTTCTGTCTGGGTTTATAGGAAGAAATCCCGTTTCCAACGAAGGCCTCAAAGCGGTCCATATATCCACTTGCAGATTCTACAGAAACAATGTTTCCAAACTGCTCTATCAAGAGGAATGTTGCACTCGGTGAGTTGAATGCACACATCACAAAGTAGTTTCTGAGATTGCTTCTGTCTACCTTTTATGGAAAGATATTCCCTTTTCTACCATAGGCCTGAAAGCGCTCTCAATGTACCCTTGCAAATTCTACAAAAAGAGTGTTTCCAAATTGCTCTATCAAGAGAAATCTTTATCTCGGTGAGTTGAAAGCACACATCACAAAGAAGACTCTGAGAATTCTTCTGTCTGGGTTTATAAGATGAAAACCCGTTTCCAACGAAGGCCTCAAGGAGGTCCAAATACAAACAAGCTGATTCTACAGAAAGAGTGTTTCCAAACTGCTCTATCAAGAGGAATGTTCCACTCGGTGAGTTGAATGCAGACATCACAAAGGAGTTTCTGAGATTGCTTGTGTCTAGCTTTTATGGAAAGATATTTCCTTTTCTACCATAGGCCTCAAAGCGCTCTTAGTATACACTTCCAAATTCTACAAAGAGAGTGTTACTAAACTGCTCTATCAAAGGAAATGTTAAACTCTGTGAGTTGAACACAGACATCACAAAGCAGTTTCTGAGAACACTTCTGTCTGCCTTTTATGTGAAGACATTCCCTTTTCCAAAGAATGCCTCCAAGGGCTCAAAATATCCACTTGTAGACTTTACAAAGAGAGTGTTTCAAAACTTCTCTACCAAAAGAAAGGTTAAAGACGGTGAGTTCAACACACACATCACAAAGTTGTTTCTGAGAATGATTCTATCTATGTTTTCCATGAAGATGTTTCCTTTTCTATCATAGGCTTCAAAGTGGTCTAAATATCCACTTGGAAATCCTACAAGAACAGGGTTTCAAAACTTCTCTATCAAACGGAAGACTCCACTCTGTGAGATGAACGCACACATCACAATGAGGTTTCTGAAAATTCTTCTGTCTAGGGTTATAGGAAGAAATCCCGTTTCCAACGAAGGCCTCAAAGAGGTCCAAATATCCACTTGCAGTTTCTACAAAAAGAGTGTTTCAACACTGCTCTATAAAGAGGAAAGTTCCACTCTGTGAGTTGAATGTACACATCACAAAGTAGTTTCTGAGATTGCTTCTGTCTAGGTTTTAGGTGAAGTTATTTCCTTTTCTACTGTGGGCTTCAATGCGCTCTAAATATACACATGCAAATACTACAAAAAGAGTGTTTCAAAACTGCTCTATCAAAAGAAAAGTTTTACTCTGTGGGTTGAACGCACACATCGCAAAGCAGATTCTGAGAATTATTCTGTCTAGTTTTTATAGGAAGATGTTTCTTTTTCTGCCGTAGGCTCAATGCGCTATAAATATCCCCTTGGAAATCCTACAAAAACAGTGTTTCAAAACTGCTCTGTGAAAAGGGACGTTTCACTCTTTGAATTGAATGCACACATCACAAAGGAGTTTCTGAAAATTCTTCAAACTAGAGTTACATGAAGAAATCCCGTTTCCAAAGAAGGCCTCAAATAGGTCCAAATATCCACTTGCAGCTACTACAAGAAGGGTGTTTCAGAAACGCTCTATCAAAAGAAACGTTAAACTCTGTGAGTTGAACACACACGTCACTAAGCACTTTCTGAGAACGATTCTATCTACTTTTTACATGAAGATGTTTCCTTTTCTAGCAGAGACTTCAAAGTGCTCTAAATATCCACTTGGGAATTCTACAAAAACGGTGTCTCAAAACTGCTCTATCAAAGGGAATGTTCCATTCTGTGAGTCGAATGCACACATCCGAAGAAGTTACTGAGAATTCTTCTCTGTAGGTTTAGATGAAGAAATCCCATTTCCAACGAAGGCCTCTAGGAGGTCCAATTATCCACTTGCAGATTCTACAGAAAGAGTGTTTCAAAACTGCTCTATCAAGAGAAATGGTCCACCGTGTGTGTGGAATGCAGCCATCACACATTAGTTTCTGAGATTGCTTCTGTCTTGGTTTTATGGGGAGATATTTCCATTTCTAGCATAGGCTTCAAGGCGCTCTAAATATCCGCTTGGAAATACTACAAAAACAGTGTTTCAAAACTGCTGTATCCAAAGGAAGGTGCCACTCGCTGAGTTGAATGCACACATCACAAGGAAGTTTCTGAGAATTCTTCTGTCTAGATTCATACGAAGAAATCCCGTTTCCAACGAAGGCCTCAAAGAAGTCCAAATATCCCATTGCAAATTCTACAAAAGGAGTGTTTCCCAACTGCTCTATCAAGAGGAATGTTGCACTCTGTGACTTGAATGCAAACATCACATAGCAGTGTTTGAGAATTCTTCTGTCTAGAGTAACATGAAGAAATCCCGTTTCCAACGAAGGCCTCAAGGCGGTCCAATTATCCACTTGCAGATTCTACAGAAAGAGTGTTTCAAAACTGCTCTATCAAGAGAAATGTTCCACCGTGTGTGTGGAATGCAGCCATCACACAGTAGTTTCTGAGATTGCTTCCGTCTAGGTTTTATGGGAAGATATTTCCTTTTCTACCATAGGCCTCAAGGCGCTCTAATATCCGCTTGGAAATACTACAACCACAGCGTTTCAAACTGCTCTATCCAAAGGAAGGTTCCACTCTGTGACTTGAATGCACACAACCAAAGAAGTTTCGGAGAATTCTTCTGTCTGGATTTATACGAAGAAATCCCGTTTCCAACGAAGACCCAAAGGAGTTCCAAATATCCACTTGCAGATCCTTCAGAAAGAGGGTTTCAAAACTGCTCTATCAAGAGAAATGTTCAACTCTGTGAGTTGAATGCAGACATCACAAAGTCGTTTCTGAGATGGGTTCTGTCTAGGTTTTATGGGAAGATATTTCCTTTTCTACCATGCGCTTCAAGGCGTTCCAAATATCCGCTTGGAAATACTACAAAAACAGTGTTTCAAAACTGCTCTATCAAAAGGAAGGATCCACACTGTGAGTTGAATTCACACATCACAAAGAAGTCTCTGAGAATTCTTCTGTCTGGGTTTATAGGAAGAAATCCCGTTTCCAACGAAGGCCTCAAAGAGGTCCAAATATCCACTTGCAGATTCTACAGAAACAATGTTTCCAAACTGCTCTATCAAGAGGAACGTTGCAATCGGTGAGTTGAATGCACACATCACAAAGTAGTTTCTGAGATTGCTTCTGTCTACCTTTTATGGAAAGATATTCCCTTTTCTACCATAGGCCTGAAAGCGCTCTCAATGTACCCTTGCAAATTCTACAAAAAGAGTGTTTCCAAATTGCTCTATCAAGAAAAATCTTTATCTCGGTGAGTTGGAAGCACACATCACAAAGAAGACTCTGAGAATTCTTCTGTCTGGGTTTATAAGATGAAAACCCGTTTCCAACGAAGGCCTCAAGGAGGTCCAAATACAAACAAGCTGATTCTACAGAAAGAGTGTTTCCAAACTGCTCTATCAAGAGGAATGTTCCACTCGGTGAGTTGAATGCAGACATCACAAAGGAGTTTCTGAGATTGCTTCTGTCTAGCTTTTATGGAAAGATATTTCCTTTTCTACCATAGGCCTCAAAGCGCTCTTAGTATACACTTCCAAATTCTACAAAGAGAGTGTTACTAAACCGCTCTCTCAAAGGAAATGTTAAACTCTGTGAGTTGAACACAGACATCACAAAGCAGTTTCTGAGAACACTTCTGTCTGCCTTTTATGTGAAGACATTCCCTTTTCCAAAGAATGCCTCCAAGGGCTCAAAATATCCACTTGTAGACTTTACAAAGAGAGTGTTTCAAAACTTCTCTACCAAAAGAAAGGTTAAAGACGGTGAGTTCAACGCACACATCACAAAGTTGTTTCTGAGAATGATTCTATCTATGTTTTCCATGAAGATGTTTCCTTTTCTATCATAGGCTTCAAAGTGGTCTAAATATCCACTTGGAAATCCTACAAGAACAGGGTTTCAAAACTTCTCTATCAAACGGAAGACTCCACTCTGTGAGATGAACGCACACATCACAATGAGGTTTCTGAAAATTCTTCTGTCTAGGGTTATAGGAAGAAATCCCGTTTCCAACGAAGGCCTCAAAGAGGTCCAAATATCCACTTGCAGTTTCTACAAAAAGAGTGTTTCAACACTGCTCTATAAAGAGGAAAGTTCCACTCTGTGAGTTGAATGTACACATCACAAAGTAGTTTCTGAGATTGCTTCTGTCTAGGTTTTAGGTGAAGTTATTTCCTTTTCTACTGTGGGCTTCAATGCGCTCTAAATATACACATGCAAATACTACAAAAAGAGTGTTTCAAAACTGCTCTATCAAAAGAAAAGTTTTACTCTGTGGGTTGAACGCACACATCGCAAAGCAGATTCTGAGAATTATTCTGTCTAGTTTTTATAGGAAGATGTTTCTTTTTCTGCCATAGGCTCAATGCGCTATAAATATCCCCTTGGAAATCCTACAAAAACAGTGTTTCAAAACTGCTCTGTGAAAAGGGAGGTTTCACTCTTTGAATTGAATGCACACATCACAAAGGAGTTTCTGAAAATTCTTCAATCTAGAGTTACATGAAGAAATCCCGTTTCCAAAGAAGGCCTCAAATAGGTCCAAATATCCACTTGCAGCTACTACAAGAAGGGTGTTTCAGAAACGCTCTATCAAAAGAAACGTTAAACTCTGTGAGTTGAACGCACACGTCACTAAGCACTTTCTGAGAACGATTCTATCTACTTTTTACATGAAGATGTTTCCTTTTCTAGCAGAGACTTCAAAGTGCTCTAAATATCCACTTGGGAATTCTACAAAAACGGTGTCTCAAAACTGCTCTATCAAAGGGAATGTTCCATTCTGTGAGTCGAATGCACACATCCGAAGAAGTTACTGAGAATTCTTCTCTGTAGGTTTAGATGAAGAAATCCCGTTTCCAATGAAGGCCTGTAGGAGGTCCAATTATCCACTTGCAGATTCTACAGAAAGAGTGTTTCAAAACTGCTCTATCAAGAGAAATGGGCCACCGTGTGTGTGGAATGCAGCCATCACACATTAGTTTCTGAGATGGCTTCTGTCTTGGTTTTATGGGGAGATATTTCCATTTCTAGCATAGGCTTCAAGGCGCTCTAAATATCCGCTTGGAAATAGTACAAAAACAGTGTTTCAAAACTGCTGTATCCAAAGGAAGGTGCCACTCGCTGAGTTGAATGCACACATCACAAGGAAGTTTCTGAGAATTCTTCTGTCTAGATTCATACGAAGAAATCCCGTTTCCAACGAAGGCCTCAAAGAAGTCCAAATATCCCATTGCAAATTCTACAAAAGGAGTGTTTCCCAACTGCTCTATCAAGAGGAATGTTGCACTCTGTGACTTGCATGCAAACATCACACAGCAGTGTTTGAGAATTCTTCTGTCTAGAGTAACATGAAGAAATCCCGTTTCCAACGAAGGCCTCAAGGCGGTCCAATTATCCACTTGCAGATTCTACAGAAAGAGTGTTTCAAAACTGCTCTATCAAGAGAAATGTTCCACCGTGTGTGTGGAATGCAGCCATCACACAGTAGTTTCTGAGATTGCTTCCGTCTAGGTTTTATGGGAAGATATTTCCTTTTCTACCATAGGCCTCAAGGCGCTCTAATATCCGCTTGGAAATACTACAACCACAGCGTTTCAAACTGCTCTATCCAAAGGAAGGTTCCACTCTGTGACTTGAATGCACACAACCAAAGAAGTTTCGGAGAATTCTTCTGTCTGGATTTATACGAAGAAATCCCGTTTCCAACGAAGACCCAAAGGAGTTCCAAATATCCACTTGCAGATCCTTCAGAAAGAGGGTTTCAAAACTGCTCTATCAAGAGAAATGTTCAACTCTGTGAGTTGAATGCAGACATCACAAAGTCGTTTCTGAGATTGGTTCCGTCTAGGTTTTATGGGAAGATATTTCCTTTTCTACCATACGCTTCAAGGCGTTCCAAATATCCGCTTGGAAATACTACAAAAACGGTGTTTCAAAACTGCTCTATCAAAAGGAGGGATCCACACTGTGAGTTGAATTCACACATCACAAAGAAATCTCTGAGAATTCTTCTGTCTGGGTTTATAGGAAGAAATCCCGTTTCCAACGAAGGCCTCAAAGAGGTCCAAATATCCACTTGCAGATTCTACAGAAACAATGTTTCCAAACTGCTCGGTCAAGAGGAATGTTGCACTCGGTGAGTTGAATGCACACATCACAAAGTAGTTTCTGAGATTGCTTCTGTCTACCTTTTATGGAAAGATATTCCCTTTTCTACCATAGGCCTGAAAGCGCTCTCAATGTACCCTTGCAAATTCTACAAAAAGAGTGTTTCCAAATTGCTCTATCAAGAGAAATCTTTATCTCGGTGAGTTGAAAGCACACATCACAAAGAAGACTCTGAGAATTCTTCTGTCTGGGTTTATAAGATGAAAACCCGTTTCCAACGAAGGCCTCAAGGAGGTCCAAATACAAACAAGCTGATTCTACAGAAAGAGTGTTTCCAAACTGCACTATCAAGAGGAATGTTCCACTCGGTGAGTTGAATGCAGACATCACAAAGGAGTTTCTGAGATTGCTTCTGTCTAGCTTTTATGGAAAGATATTTCCTTTTCTACCATAGGCCTCAAAGCGCTCTTAGTATACACTTCCAAATTCTACAAAGAGAGTGTTACTAAACCGCTCTCTCAAAGGAAATGTTAAACTCTGTGAGTTGAACACAGACATCACAAAGCAGTTTCTGAGAACACTTCTGTCTGCCTTTTATGTGAAGACATTCCCTTTTCCAAAGAATGCCTCCAAGGGCTCAAAATATCCACTTGTAGACTTTACAAAGAGAGTGTTTCAAAACTTCTCTACCAAAAGAAAGGTTAAAGACGGTGAGTTCAACGCACACATCACAAAGTTGTTTCTGAGAATGATTCTATCTATGTTTTCCATGAAGATGTTTCCTTTTCTATCATAGGCTTCAAAGTGGTCTAAATATCCACTTGGAAATCCTACAAGAACAGGGTTTCAAAACTTCTCTATCAAACGGAAGACTCCACTCTGTGAGATGAACGCACACATCACAATGAGGTTTCTGAAAATTCTTCTGTCTAGGGTTATAGGAAGAAATCCCGTTTCCAACGAAGGCCTCAAAGAGGTCCAAATATCCACTTGCAGTTTCTACAAAAAGAGTGTTTCAACACTGCTCTATAAAGAGAAAAGTTCCACTCCTGTGAGTTGAATGTACACATCACAAAGTAGTTTCTGAGATTGCTTCTGTCTAGGTTTTAGGTGAAGTTATTTCCTTTTCTACTGTGGGCTTCAATGCGCTCTAAATATACACATGCAAATACTACAAAAAGAGTGTTTCAAAACTGCTCTATCAAAAGAAAAGTTTTACTCTGTGGGTTGAACGCACACATCGCAAAGCAGATTGCTGAGAATTATTCTGTCTAGTTTTTATAGGAAGATGTTTCTTTTTCTGCCATAGGATCAATGCGCTATAAATATCCCCTTGGAAATCCTACAAAAACAGTGTTTCAAAACTGCTCTGTGAAAAGGGAGGTTTCACTCTTTGAATTGAATGCACACATCACAAAGGAGTTTCTGAAAATTCTTCAAACTAGAGTTACATGAAGAAATCCCGTTTCCAAAGAAGGCCTCAAATAGGTCCAAATATCCACTTGCAGCTACTACAAGAAGGGTGTTTCAGAAACGCTCTATCAAAAGAAACGTTAAACTCTGTGAGTTGAACGCACACGTCACTAAGCACTTTCTGAGAACGATTCTATCTACTTTTTACATGAAGATGTTTCCTTTTCTAGCAGAGACTTCAAAGTGCTCTAAATATCCACTTGGGAATTCTACAAAAACGGTGTCTCAAAACTGCTCTATCAAAGGGAATGTTCCATTCTGTGAGTCGAATGCACACATCCGAAGAAGTTACTGAGAATTCTTCTCTGTAGGTTTAGATGAAGAAATCCCGTTTCCAACGAAGGCCTCTAGGAGGTCCAATTATCCACTTGCAGATTCTACAGAAAGAGTGTTTCAAAACTGCTCTATCAAGAGAAATGGTCCACCGTGTGTGTGGAATGCAGCCATCACACATTAGTTTCTGAGATTGCTTCTGTCTTGGTTTTATGGGGAGATATTTCCATTTCTAGCATAGGCTTCAAGGCGCTCTAAATATCCGCTTGGAAATACTACAAAAACAGTGTTTCAAAACTGCTGTATCCAAAGGAAGGTGCCACTCGCTGAGTTGAATGCACACATCACAAGGAAGTTTCTGAGAATTCTTCTGTCTAGATTCATACGAAGAAATCCCGTTTCCAACGAAGGCCTCAAAGAAGTCCAAATATCCCATTGCAAATTCTACAAAAGGAGTGTTTCCCAACTGCTCTATCAAGAGGAATGTTGCACTCTGTGACTTGAATGCAAACATCACATAGCAGTGTTTGAGAATTCTTCTGTCTAGAGTAACATGAAGAAATCCCGTTTCCAACGAAGGCCTCAAGGCGGTCCAATTATCCACTTGCAGATTCTACAGAAAGAGTGTTTCAAAACTGCTCTATCAAGAGAAATGTTCCACCGTGTGTGTGGAATGCAGCCACCACACAGTAGTTTCTGAGATTGCTTCCGTCTAGGTTTTATGGGAAGATATTTCCTTTTCTACCATAGGCCTCAAGGCGCTCTAATATCCGCTTGGAAATACTACAACCACAGCGTTTCAAACTGCTCTATCCAAAGGAAGGTTCCACTCTGTGACTTGAATGCACACAACCAAAGAAGTTTCGGAGAATTCTTCTGTCTGGATTTATACGAAGAAATCCCGTTTCCAACGAAGACCCAAAGGAGTTCCAAATATCCACTTGCAGATCCTTCAGAAAGAGGGTTTCAAAACTGCTCTATCAAGAGAAATGTTCAACTCTGCGAGTTGAATGCAGACATCACAAAGTCGTTTCTGAGATGGGTTCTGTCTAGGTTTTATGGGAAGATATTTCCTTTTCTACCATACGCTTCAAGGCGTTCCAAATATCCGCTTGGAAATACCACAAAAACGGTGTTTCAAAACTGCTCTATCAAAAGGAAGTATCCACACTGTGAGTTGAATTCACACATCACAAAGAAATCTCTGAGAATTCTTCTGTCTGGGTTTATAGGAAGAAATCCCGTTTCCAACGAAGGCCTCAAAGCGGTCCATATATCCACTTGCAGATTCTACAGAAACAATGTTTCCAAACTGCTCTATCAAGAGGAATGTTGCACTCGGTGAGTTGAATGCACACATCACAAAGTAGTTTCTGAGATTGCTTCTGTCTACCTTTGATGGAAAGATATTCCCTTTTCTACCATAGGCCTGAAAGCGCTCTCAATGTACCCTTGCAAATTCTACGAAAAGAGTGTTTCCAAATTGCTCTATCAAGAGAAATCTTTATCTCGGTGAGTTGAAAGCACACATCACAAAGAAGACTCTGAGAATTCTTCTGTCTGGGTTTATAAGATGAAAACCCGTTTCCAACGAAGGCCTCAAGGAGGTCCAAATACAAACAAGCTGATTCTACAGAAAGAGTGTTTCCAAACTGCTCTATCAAGAGGAATGTTCCACTCGGTGAGTTGAATGCAGACATCACAAAGGAGTTTCTGAGATTGCTTCTGTCTAGCTTTTATGGAAAGATATTTCCTTTTCTACCATAGGCCTCAAAGCGCTCTTAGTATACACTTCCAAATTCTACAAAGAGAGGGTTACTAATCCTCTCTATCACAGGAAATGTTAAACTCTGTGAGTTGAACACAGATATCACAAAGCAGTTTCTGAGAACACTTCTGTCTGCCTTTTATGTGAAGACATTCCCTTTTCCAAAGAATGCCTCCAAGGGCTCAAAATATCCACTCGTAGACTTTACAAAGAGAGTGTTTCAAAACTTCTCTACCAAAAGAAAGGTTAAAGACGGTGAGTTCAACGCACACATCACAAAGTTGTTTCTGAGAATGATTCTATCTATGTTTTCCATGAAGATGTTTCCTTTTCTATCATAGGCTTCAAAGTGGTCTAAATATCCACTTGGAAATCCTACAAGAACAGGGTTTCAAAACTTCTCTATCAAACGGAAGACTCCACTCTGTGAGATGAACGCACACATCACAATGAGGTTTCTGAAAATTCTTCTGTCTAGGGTTATAGGAAGAAATCCCGTTTCCAGCGAAGGCCTCTAAGAGGTCCAAATATCCACCTGCAGTTTCTACAAAAAGAGTGTTTCAACACTGCTCTGTAAAGGGGAAAGTTCCACTCTGTGAGTTGAATGTACACATCACAAAGTAGTTTCTGAGATTGCTTCTGTCTAGGTTTTAGGTGAAGTTATTTCCTTTTCTACTGTGGGCTTCAATGCGCTCTCAATATACACATGCAAATACTACAAAAAGAGTGTTTCAAAACTGTTCTATCAAAAGAAAAGTTTTAATACTGTGGGTTGAACGCACACATCGCAAAGCAGATTCTGAGAATTATTCTGTCTAGTTTTTATAGGAAGATGTTTCTTTTTCTGCCGTAGGCTCAATGCGCTATAAATATCCCCTTGGAAATCCTACAAAAACAGTGTTTCAAAACTGCTCTGTGAAAAGGGAGGTTTCACTCTTTGAATTGAATGCATACATCACAAAGGAGTTTCTGAAAATTCTTCAATCTAGAGTTACATGAAGAAATCCCGTTTCCAAAGAAGGCCTCAAATAGGTCCAAATATCTACTTGCAGCTACTACAAGAAGGGTGTTTCAGAAACACTCTATCAAAAGAAACGTTAAACTCTGTGAGTTGAACGCACACGTCACTAAGCACTTTCTGAGAACGATTCTATCTACTTTTTACATGAAGATGTTTCCTTTTCTAGCAGAGACTTCAAAGTGCTCTAAATATCCACTTGGGAATTCTACAAAAACGGTGTCTCAAAACTGCTCTATCAAAGGGAATGTTCCATTCTGTGAGTCGAATGCACACATCCGAAGAAGTTACTGAGAATTCTTCTCTGTAGGTTTAGATGAAGAAATCCCGTTTCCAACGAAGGCCTCTAGGAGGTCCAATTATCCACTTGCAGATTCTACAGAAAGAGTGTTTCAAAACTGCTCTATCAAGAGAAATGGTCCACCGTGTGTGTGGAATGCAGCCATCACACATTAGTTTCTGAGATTGCTTCTGTCTTGGTTTTATGGGGAGATATTTCCATTTCTAGCATAGGCTTCAAGGCGCTCTAAATATCCGCTTGGAAATACTACAAAAACAGTGTTTCAAAACTGCTGTATCCAAAGGAAGGTGCCACTCGCTGAGTTGAATGCACACATCACAAGGAAGTTTCTGAGAATTCTTCTGTCTAGATTCATACGAAGAAATCCCGTTTCCAACGAAGGCCTCAAAGAAGTCCAAATATCCCATTGCAAATTCTACAAAAGGAGTGTTTCCCAACTGCTCTATCAAGAGGAATGTTGCACTCTGTGACTTGAATGCAAACATCACATAGCAGTGTTTGAGAATTCTTCTGTCTAGAGTAACATGAAGAAATCCCGTTTCCAACGAAGGCCTCAAGGCGGTCCAATTATCCACTTGCAGATTCTACAGAAAGAGTGTTTCAAAACTGCTCTATCAAGAGAAATGTTCCACCGTGTGTGTGGAATGCAGCCATCACACAGTAGTTTCTGAGATTGCTTCCGTCTAGGTTTTATGGGAAGATATTTCCTTTTCTACCATAGGCCTCAAGGCGCTCTAATATCCGCTTGGAAATACTACAACCACAGCGTTTCAAACTGCTCTATCCAAAGGAAGGTTCCACTCTGTGACTTGAATGCACACAACCAAAGAAGTTTCGGAGAATTCTTCTGTCTGGATTTATACGAAGAAATCCCGTTTCCAACGAAGACCCAAAGGAGTTCCAAATATCCCCTTGCAGATCCTTCAGAAAGAGGGTTTCAAAACTGCTCTATCAAGAGAAATGTTCAACTCTGTGAGTTGAATGCAGACATCACAAAGTCGTTTCTGAGATGGGTTCTGTCTAGGTTTTATGGGAAGATATTTCCTTTTCTACCATACGCTTCAAGGCGTTCCAAATATCCGCTTGGAAATACTACAAAAACAGTGTTTCAAAACTGCTCTATCAAAAGGAAGGATCCACACTGTGAGTTGAATTCACACATCACAAAGAAGTCTCTGAGAATTCTTCTGTCTGGGTTTATAGGAAGAAATCCCGTTTCCAACGAAGGCCTCAAAGCGGTCCATATATCCACTTGCAGATTCTACAGAAACAATGTTTCCAAACTGCTCTATCAAGAGGAATGTTGCACTCGGTGAGTTGAATGCACACATCACAAAGTAGTTTCTGAGATTGCTTCTGTCTACCTTTTATGGAAAGATATTCCCTTTTCTACCATAGGCCTGAAAGCGCTCTCAATGTACCCTTGCAAATTCTACAAAAAGAGTGTTTCCAAATTGCTCTATCAAGAGAAATCTTTATCTCGGTGAGTTGAAAGCACACATCACAAAGAAGACTCTGAGAATTCTTCTGTCTGGGTTTATAAGATGAAAACCCGTTTCCAACGAAGGCCTCAAGGAGGTCCAAATACAAACAAGCTGATTCTACAGAAAGAGTGTTTCCAAACTGCTCTATCAAGAGGAATGTTCCACTCGGTGAGTTGAATGCAGACATCACAAAGGAGTTTCTGAGATTGCTTCTGTCTAGCTTTTATGGAAAGATATTTCCTTTTCTACCATAGGCCTCAAAGCGCTCTTAGTATACACTTCCAAATTCTACAAAGAGAGTGTTACTAAACCGCTCTCTCAAAGGAAATGTTAAACTCTGTGAGTTGAACACAGACATCACAAAGCAGTTTCTGAGAACACTTCTGTCTGCCTTTTATGTGAAGACATTCCCTTTTCCAAAGAATGCCTCCAAGGGCTCAAAATATCCACTTGTAGACTTTACAAAGAGAGTGTTTCAAAACTTCTCTACCAAAAGAAAGGTTAAAGACGGTGAGTTCAACGCACACATCACAAAGTTGTTTCTGAGAATGATTCTATCTATGTTTTCCATGAAGATGTTTCCTTTTCTATCATAGGCTTCAAAGTGGTCTAAATATCCACTTGGAAATCCTACAAGAACAGGGTTTCAAAACTTCTCTATCAAACGGAAGACTCCACTCTGTGAGATGAACGCACACATCACAATGAGGTTTCTGAAAATTCTTCTGTCTAGGGTTATAGGAAGAAATCCCGTTTCCAACGAAGGCCTCAAAGAGGTCCAAATATCCACTTGCAGTTTCTACAAAAAGAGTGTTTCAACACTGCTCTATAAAGAGGAAAGTTCCACTCTGTGAGTTGAATGTACACATCACAAAGTAGTTTCTGAGATTGCTTTCTGTCTAGGTTTTAGGTGAAGTTATTTCCTTTTCTACTGTGGGCTTCAATGCGCTCTAAATATACACATGCAAATACTACAAAAAGAGTGTTTCAAAACTGCTCTATCCAAAGAAAAGTTTTACTCTGTGGGTTGAACGCACACATCGCAAAGCAGATTCTGAGAATTATTCTGTCTAGTTTTTATAGGAAGATGTTTCTTTTTCTGCCATAGGCTCAATGCGCTATAAATATCCCCTTGGAAATCCTACAAAAACAGTGTTTCAAAACTGCTCTGTGAAAAGGGAGGTTTCACTCTTTGAATTGAATGCACACATCACAAAGGAGTTTCTGAAAATTCTTCAAACTAGAGTTACATGAAGAAATCCCGTTTCCAAAGAAGGCCTCAAATAGGTCCAAATATCCACTTGCAGCTACTACAAGCAGGGTGTTTCAGAAACGCTCTATCAAAAGAAACGTTAAACTCTGTGAGTTGAACACACACGTCACTAAGCACTTTCTGAGAACGATTCTATCTACTTTTTACATGAAGATGTTTCCTTTTCTAGCAGAGACTTCAAAGTGCTCTAAATATCCACTTGGGAATTCTACAAAAACGGTGTCTCAAAACTGCTCTATCAAAGGGAATGTTCCATTCTGTGAGTCGAATGCACACATCCGAAGAAGTTACTGAGAATTCTTCTCTGTAGGTTTAGATGAAGAAATCCCGTTTCCAACGAAGGCCTCTAGGAGGTCCAATTATCCACTTGCAGATTCTACAGAAAGAGTGTTTCAAAACTGCTCTATCAAGAGAAATGGTCCACCGTGTGTGTGGAATGCAGCCATCACACATTAGTTTCTGAGATTGCTTCTGTCTTGGTTTTATGGGGAGATATTTCCATTTCTAGCATAGGCTTCAAGGCGCTCTAAATATCCGCTTGGAAATAGTACAAAAACAGTGTTTCAAAACAGCTGTATCCAAAGGAAGGTGCCACTCGCTGAGTTGAATGCACACATCACAAGGAAGTTTCTGAGAATTCTTCTGTCTAGATTCATACGAAGAAATCCCGTTTCCAACGAAGGCCTCAAACAAGTCCAAATATCCCATTGCAGATTCTACAAAAGGAGTGTTTCCCAACTGCTCTATCAAGAGGAATGTGGCACTCTGTGACTTGAATGCAAACATCACATTGTAGTGTTTGAGAATTCTTCTGTCTAGAGTAACATGAAGAAATCCCGTTTCCAACGAAGGCCTCAAGGCGGTCCAATTATCCACTTGCAGATTCTACAGAAAGAGTGTTTCAAAACTGCTCTATCAAGAGAAATGTTCCACCGTGTGTGTGGAATGCAGCCATCACACAGTAGTTTCTGAGATTGCTTCCGTCTAGGTTTTATGGGAAGATATTTCCTTTTCTACCATAGGCTTCAAGGCGCTCTAATATCCGCTTGGAAATACTACAACCACAGCGTTTCAAACTGCTCTATCCAAAGGAAGGTTCCACTCTGTGACTTGAATGCACACAACCAAAGAAGTTTCGGAGAATTCTTCTGTCTAGATTTATACGAAGAAATCCCGTTTCCAACGAAGACCCAAAGGAGTTCCAAATATCCACTTGCAGATCCTTCAGAAAGAGGGTTTCAAAACTGCTCTATCAAGAGAAATGTTCAACTCTGTGAGTTGAATGCAGACATCACAAAGTCGTTTCTGAGATTGGTTCTGTCTAGGTTTTATGGGAAGATATTTCCTTTTCTACCATACGCTTCAAGGCGTTCCAAATATCCGCTTGGAAATACTACAAAAACAGTGTTTCAAAACTGCTCTATCAAAAGGAAGGGATCCACACTGTGAGTTGAATTCACACATCACAAAGAAATCTCTGAGAATTCTTCTGTCTGGGTTTATAGGAAGAAATCCCGTTTCCAACGAAGGCCTCAAAGCGGTCCATATATCCACTTGCAGATTCTACAGAAACAATGTTTCCAAACTGCTCGGTCAAGAGGAATGTTGCACTCGGTGAGTTGAATGCACACATCACAAAGTAGTTTCTGAGATTGCTTCTGTCTACCTTTTATGGAAAGATATTCCCTTTTCTACCATAGGCCTGAAAGCGCTCTCAATGTACCCTTGCAAATTCTACAAAAAGAGTGTTTCCAAATTGCTCTATCAAGAGAAATCTTTATCTCGGTGAGTTGAAAGCACACATCACAAAGAAGACTCTGAGAATTCTTCTGTCTGGGTTTATAAGATGAAAACCCGTTTCCAACGAAGGCCTCAAGGAGGTCCAAATACAAACAAGCTGATTCTACAGAAAGAGTGTTTCCAAACTGCTCTATCAAGAGGAATGTTCCACTCGGTGAGTTGAATGCAGACATCACAAAGGAGTTTCTGAGATTGCTTCTGTCTAGCTTTTATGGAAAGATATTTCCTTTTCTACCATAGGCCTCAAAGCGCTCTTAGTATACACTTCCAAATTCTACAAAGAGAGTGTTACTAAACCGCTCTCTCAAAGGAAATGTTAAACTCTGTGAGTTGAACACAGACATCACAAAGCAGTTTCTGAGAACACTTCTGTCTGCCTTTTATGTGAAGACATTCCCTTTTCCAAAGAATGCCTCCAAGGGCTCAAAATATCCACTTGTAGACTTTACAAAGAGAGTGTTTCAAAACTTCTCTACCAAAAGAAAGGTTAAAGACGGTGAGTTCAATGCACACATCACAAAGTTGTTTCTGACAATGATTCTATCTATGTTTTCCATGAAGATGTTTCCTTTTCTATCATAGGCTTCAAAGTGGTCTAAATATCCACTTGGAAATCCTACAAGAACAGGGTTTCAAAACTTCTCTATCAAACGGAATACTCCACTCTGTGAGATGAACGCACACATCACAATGAGGTTTCTGAAAATTCTTCTGTCTAGGGTTATAGGAAGAAATCCCGTTTCCAAAGAAGGCCTCAAAGAGGTCCAAATATCCACCTGCAGTTTCTACAAAAAGAGTGTTTCAACACTGCTCTGTAAAGGGGAAAGTTCCACTCTGTGAGTTGAATGTACACATCACAAAGTAGTTTCTGAGATTGCTTCTGTCTAGGTTTTAGGTGAAGTTATTTCCTTTTCTACTGTGGGCTTCAATGCGCTCTAAATATACACATGCAAATACTACAAAAAGAGTGTTTCAAAACTGCTCTATCAAAAGAAAAGTTTTACTCTGTGGGTTGAACGCACACATCGCAAAGCAGATTCTGAGAATTATTCTGTCTAGTTTTTATAGGAAGATGTTTCTTTTTCTGCCATAGGCTCAATGCGCTATAAATATCCCCTTGGAAATCCTACAAAAACAGTGTTTCAAAACTGCTCTGTGAAAAGGGAGGTTTCACTCTTTGAATTGAATGCACACATCACAAAGGAGTTTCTGAAAATTCTTCAATCTAGAGTTACATGAAGAAATCCCGTTTCCAAAGAAGGCCTCAAATAGGTCCAAATATCCACTTGCAGCTACTACAAGAAGGGTGTTTCAGAAACGCTCTATCAAAAGAAACGTTAAACTCTGTGAGTTGAACGCACACGTCACTAAGCACTTTCTGAGAACGATTCTATCTACTTTTTACATGAAGATGTTTCCTTTTCTAGCAGAGACTTCAAAGTGCTCTAAATATCCACTTGGGAATTCTACCAAAACGGTGTCTCAAAACTGCTCTATCGAAGGGAATGTTCCACTCTGTGAGTCGAATGCACACATCCGAAGAAGTTACTGAGAATTCTTCTCTGTAGGTTTAGATGAAGAAATCCCGTTTCCAACGAAGGCCTCTAGGAGGTCCAATTATCCACTTGCAGATTCTACAGAAAGAGTGTTTCAAAACTGCTCTATCAAGAGAAATGGTCCACCGTGTGTGTGGAATGCAGCCATCACACATTAGTTTCTGAGATTGCTTCTGTCTTGGTTTTATGGGGAGATATTTCCATTTCTAGCGTAGGCTTCAAGGCGCTCTAAATATCCGCTTGGAAATACTACAAAAACAGTGTTTCAAAACTGCTGTATCCAAAGGAAGGTGCCACTCGCTGAGTTGAATGCACACATTACAAAGAAGTTTCTGAGAATTCTTCTGTCTAGATTCATACGAAGAAATCCCGTTTCCAACGAAGGCCTCAAAGAAGTCCAAATATCCCATTGCAGATTCCACAAAAGGAGTGTTTCCCAACTGCTCTATCAAGAGGAATGTTGCACTCTGTGACTTGAATGCAAACATCACATAGTAGTGTTTGAGAATTCTTCTATCTAGAGTAACATGAAGAAATCCCGTTTCCAACGAAGGCCTCAAGGCGGTCCAATTATCCACTTGCAGATTCTACAGAAAGAGTGTTTCAAAACTGCTCTATCAAGAGAAATGTTCCACCGTGTGTGTGGAATGCAGCCGTCACACAGTAGTTTCTGAGATTGCTTCCGTCTAGGTTTTATGGGAAGATATTTCCTTTTCTACCATAGGCCTCAAGGCGCTCTAATATCCGCTTGGAAATACTACAACCACAGCGTTTCAAACTGCTCTATCCAAAGGAAGGTTCCACTCTGTGACTTGAATGCACACAACCAAAGAAGTTTCGGAGAATTCTTCTGTCTGGATTTATACGAAGAAATCCCGTTTCCAACGAAGACCCAAAGGAGTTCCAAATATCCACTTGCAGATCCTTCAGAAAGAGGGTTTCAAAACTGCTCTATCAAGAGAAATGTTCAACTCTGTGAGTTGAATGCAGACATCACAAAGTCGTTTCTGAGATGGGTTCTGTCTAGGTTTTATGGGAAGATATTTCCTTTTCTACTATACGCTTCAAGGCGTTCCAAATATCTGCTTGGAAATACTACAAAAACAGTGTTTCAAAACTGCTCTATCAAAAGGAAGGATCCACACTGTGAGTTGAATTCACACATCACAAAGAAATCTCTGAGAATTCTTCTGTCTGGGTTTATAGGAAGAAATCCCGTTTCCAACGAAGGCCTCAAAGCCGGTCCATATATCCACTTGCAGATTCTACAGAAACAATGTTTCCAAACTGCTCTATCAAGAGGAATGTTGCACTCGGTGAGTTGAATGCACACATCACAAAGTAGTTTCTGAGATTGCTTCTGTCTACCTTTTATGGAAAGATATTCCCTTTTCTACCATAGGCCTGAAAGCGCTCTCAATGTACCCTTGCAAATTCTACAAAAAGAGTGTTTCCAAATTGCTCTATCAAGAGAAATCTTTATCTCGGTGAGTTGAAAGCACACATCACAAAGAAGACTCTGAGAATTCTTCTGTCTGGGTTTATAAGATGAAAACCCGTTTCCAACGAAGGCCTCAAGGAGGTCCAAATACAAACAAGCTGATTCTACAGAAAGAGTGTTTCCAAACTGCTCTATCAAGAGGAATGTTCCACTCGGTGAGTTGAATGCAGACATCACAAAGGAGTTTCTGAGATTGCTTCTGTCTAGCTTTTATGGAAAGATATTTCCTTTTCTACCATAGGCCTCAAAGCGCTCTTAGTATACACTTCCAAATTCTACAAACAGAGTGTTACTAAACCGCTCTCTCAAAGGAAATGTTAAACTCTGTGAGTTGAACACAGACATCACAAAGCAGTTTCTGAGAACACTTCTGTCTGCCTTTTATGTGAAGACATTCTCTTTTCCAAAGAATGCCTCCAAGGGCTCAAAATATCCACTTGTAGACTTTACAAAGAGAGTGTTTCAAAACTTCTCTACCAAAAGAAAGGTTAAAGACGGTGAGTTCAACGCACACATCACAAAGTTGTTTCTGAGAATGATTCTATCTATGTTTTCCATGAAGATGTTTCCTTTTCTATCATAGGCTTCAAAGTGGTCTAAATATCCACTTGGAAATCCTACAAGAACAGGGTTTCAAAACTTCTCTATCAAACGGAAGACTCCACTCTGTGAGCTGAACGCACACATCACAATGAGGTTTCTGAAAATTCTTCTGTCTAGGGTTATAGGAAGAAATCCCGTTTCCAACGAAGGCCTCAAAGAGGTCCAAATATCCACTTGCAGTTTCTACAAAAAGAGTGTTTCAACACTGCTCTATAAAGAGAAAAGTTCCACTCTGTGAGTTGAATGTACACATCACAAAGTAGTTTCTGAGATTGCTTCTGTCTAGGTTTTAGGTGAAGTTATTTCCTTTTCTACTGTGGGCTTCAATGCGCTCTAAATATACACATGCAAATACTACAAAAAGAGTGTTTCAAAACCGCTCTATCAAAAGTAAAGTTTTACTCTGTGGGTTGAACTCACACATCGCAAAGCAGATTCTGAGAATTATTCTGTCTAGTTTTTATAGGAAGATGTTTCTTTTTCTGCCATAGGCTCAATGCGCTATAAATATCCCCTTGGAAATCCTACAAAAACAGTGTTTCAAAACTGCTCTGTGAAAAGGGAGGTTTCACTCTTTGAATTGAATGCACACATCACAAAGGAGTTTCTGAAAATTCTTCAATCTAGAGTTACATGAAGAAATCCCGTTTCCAAAGAAGGCCTCAAATAGGTCCAAATATCCACTTGCAGCTACTACAAGAAGGGTGTTTCAGAAACGCTCTATCAAAAGAAACGTTAAACTCTGTGAGTTGAACGCACACGTCACTAAGCACTTTCTGAGAACGATTCTATCTACTTTTTACATGAAGATGTTTCCTTTTCTAGCAGAGACTTCAAAGTGCTCTAAATATCCACTTGGGAATTCTACAAAAACGGTGTCTCAAAACTGCTCTATCAAACGGAATGTTCCATTCTGTGAGTCGAATGCACACATCCGAAGAAGTTACTGAGAATTCTTCTCTGTAGGTTTAGATGAAGAAATCCCGTTTCCAACGAAGGCCTCTAGGAGGTCCAATTATCCACTTGCAGATTCTACAGAAAGAGTGTTTCAAAACTGCTCTATCAAGAGAAATGGTCCACCGTGTGTGTGGAATGCAGCCATCACACATTAGTTTCTGAGATTGCTTCTGTCTTGGTTTTATGGGGAGATATTTCCATTTCTAGCATAGGCTTCAAGGCGCTCTAAATATCCGCTTGGAAATACTACAAAAACAGTGTTTCAAAACTGCTGTATCCAAAGGAAGGTGCCACTCGCTGAGTTGAATGCACACATCACAAGGAAGTTTCTGAGAATTCTTCTGTCTAGATTCATACGAAGAAATCCCGTTTCCAACGAAGGCCTCAAAGAAGTCCAAATATCCCATTGCAAATTCTACAAAAGGAGTGTTTCCCAACTGCTCTATCAAGAGGAATGTTGCACTCTGTGACTTGCATGCAAACATCACACAGCAGTGTTTGAGAATTCTTCTGTCTAGAGTAACATGAAGAAATCCCGTTTCCAACGAAGGCCTCAAGGCGGTCCAATTATCCACTTGCAGATTCTACAGAAAGAGTGTTTCAAAACTGCTCTATCAAGAGAAATGTTCCACCGTGTGTGTGGAATGCAGCCATCACACAGTAGTTTCTGAGATTGCTTCCGTCTAGGTTTTATGGGAAGATATTTCCTTTTCTACCATAGGCCTCAAGGCGCTCTAATATCCGCTTGGAAATACTACAACCACAGCGTTTCAAACTGCTCTATCCAAAGGAAGGTTCCACTCTGTGACTTGAATGCACACAACCAAAGAAGTTTCGGAGAATTCTTCTGTCTGGATTTATACGAAGAAATCCCGTTTCCAACGAAGACCCAAAGGAGTTCCAAATATCCACTTGCAGCTCCTTCAGAAAGAGGGTTTCAAAACTGCTCTATCAAGAGAAATGTTCAACTCTGTGAGTTGAATGCAGACATCACAAAGTCGTTTCTGAGATGGGTTCTGTCTAGGTTTTATGGGAAGATATTTCCTTTTCTACCATACGCTTCAAGGCGTTCCAAATATCCGCTTGGAAATACTACAAAAACAGTGTTTCAAAACTGCTCTATCAAAAGGAAGGATCCACACTGTGAGTTGAATTCACACATCACAAAGAAGTCTCTGAGAATTCTTCTGTCTGGGTTTATAGGAAGAAATCCCGTTTCCAACGAAGGCCTCAAAGCGGTCCATATATCCACTTGCAGATTCTACAGAAACAATGTTTCCAAACTGCTCTATCAAGAGGAATGTTGCACTCGGTGAGTTGAATGCACACATCACAAAGTAGTTTCTGAGATTGCTTCTGTCTACCTTTTATGGAAAGATATTCCCTTTTCTACCATAGGCCTGAAAGCGCTCTCAATGTACCCTTGCAAATTCTACAAAAAGGGTGTTTCCAAATTGCTGTATCAAGAGAAATCTTTATCTCGGTGAGTTGAAAGCACACATCACAAAGAAGACTCTGAGAATTCTTCTGTCTGGGTTTATAAGATGAAAACCCGTTTCCAACGAAGGCCTCAAGGAGGTCCAAATACAAACAAGCTGATTCTACAGAAAGAGTGTTTCCAAACTGCTCTATCAAGAGGAATGTTCCACTCGGTGAGTTGAATGCAGACATCACAAAGGAGTTTCTGAGATTGCTTCTGTCTAGCTTTTATGGAAAGATATTTCCTTTTCTACCATAGGCCTCAAAGCGCTCTTAGTATACACTTCCAAATTCTACAAAGAGAGTGTTACTAAACCGCTCTCTCAAAGGAAATGTTAAACTCTGTGAGTTGAACACAGACATCACAAAGCAGTTTCTGAGAACACTTCTGTCTGCCTTTTATGTAAAGACATTCCCTTTTCCAAAGAATGCCTCCAAGGGCTCAAAATATCCACTTGTAGACTTTACAAAGAGAGTGTTTCAAAACTTCTCTACCAAAAGAAAGGTTAAAGACGGTGAGTTCAACGCACACATCACAAAGTTGTTTCTGAGAATGATTCTATCTATGTTTTCCATGAAGATGTTTCCTTTTCTATCACAGGCTTCAAAGTGGTCTAAATATCCACTTGGAAATCCTACAAGAACAGGGTTTCAAAACTTCTCTATCAAACGGAAGACTCCACTCTGTGAGATGAACGCACACATCACAATGAGGTTTCTGAAAATTCTTCTGTCTAGGGTTATAGGAAGAAATCCCGTTTCCAACGAAGGCCTCAAAGAGGTCCAAATATCCACTTGCAGTTTCTACAAAAAGAGTGTTTCAACACTGCTCTATAAAGAGGAAAGTTCCACTCTGTGAGTTGAATGTACACATCACAAAGTAGTTTCTGAGATTGCTTCTGTCTAGGTTTTAGGTGAAGTTATTTCCTTTTCTACTGTGGGCTTCAATGCGCTCTAAATATACACATGCAAATACTACAAAAAGAGTGTTTCAAAACTGCTCTATCAAAAGAAAAGTTTTACTCTGTGAGTTGAACGCACACATCGCAAAGCAGATTCTGAGAATTATTCTGTCTAGTTTTTATAGGAAGATGTTTCTTTTTCTGCCATAGGCTCAATGCGCTATAAATATCCCCTTGGAAATCCTACAAAAACAGTGTTTCAAAACTGCTCTGTGAAAAGGGAGGTTTCACTCTTTGAATTGAATGCACACATCACAAAGGAGTTTCTGAAAATTCTTCAAACTAGAGTTACATGAAGAAATCCCGTTTCCAAAGAAGGCCTCAAATAGGTCCAAATATCCACTTGCAGCTACTACAAGAAGGGTGTTTCAGAAACGCTCTATCAAAAGAAACGTTAAACTCTGTGAGTTGAACGCACACGTCACTAAGCACTTTCTGAGAACGATTCTATCTACTTTTTACATGAAGATGTTTCCTTTTCTAGCAGAGACTTCAAAGTGCTCTAAATATCCACTTGGGAATTCTACAAAAACGGTGTCTCAAAACTGCTCTATCAAAGGGAATGTTCCATTCTGTGAGTCGAATGCACACATCCGAAGAAGTTACTGAGAATTCTTCTCTGTAGGTTTAGATGAAGAAATCCCGTTTCCAACGAAGGCCTCTAGGAGGTCCAATTATCCACTTGCAGATTCTACAGAAAGAGTGTTTCAAAACTGCTCTATCAAGAGAAATGGTCCACCGTGTGTGTGGAATGCAGCCATCACACATTAGTTTCTGAGATTGCTTCTGTCTTGGTTTTATGGGGAGATATTTCCATTTCTAGCATAGGCTTCAAGGCGCTCTAAATATCCGCTTGGAAATACTACAAAAACAGTGTTTCAAAACTGCTGTATCCACAGGAAGGTGCCACTCGCTGAGTTGAATGCACACATCACAAGGAAGTTTCTGAGAATTCTTCTGTCTAGATTCATACGAAGAAATCCCGTTTCCAACGAAGGCCTCAAAGAAGTCCAAATATCCCATTGCAAATTCTACAAAAGGAGTGTTTCCCAACTGCTCTATCAAGAGGAATGTTGCACTCTGTGACTTGCATGCAAACATCACATAGCAGTGTTTGAGAATTCTTCTGTCTAGAGTAACATGAAGAAATCCCGTTTCCAACGAAGGCCTCAAGGCGGTCCAATTATCCACTTGCAGATTCTACAGAAAGAGTGTTTCAAAACTGCTCTATCAAGAGGAATGTTCCACCGTGTGTGTGGAATGCAGCCATCACACAGTAGTTTCTGAGATTGCTTCCGTCTAGGTTTTATGGGAAGATATTTCCTTTTCTACCATAGGCCTCAAGGCGCTCTAATATCCGCTTGGAAATACTACAACCACAGCTTTTCAAACTGCTCTATCCAAAGGAAAGCTCCACACTGTGGCTTGAATGCACACAACCAAAGAAGTTTCGGAGAATTCTTCTGTCTGGATTTATACGAAGAAATCCCGTTTCCAACGAAGACCCAAAGGAGTTCCAAATATCCACTTGCAGCTCCTTCAGAAAGAGGGTTTCAAAACTGCTCTATCAAGAGAAATGTTCAACTCTGTGAGTTGAATGCAGACATCACAAAGTCGTTTCTGAGATGGGTTCTGTCTTGGTTTTATGGGAAGATATTTCCTTTTCTACCATAGGCTTCAAGGCGCTCCAAATATCCGCTTGGAAATACTATAAAAACAGTGTTTGAAAACTGCTCTATCAAAAGGAAGGATCCACTCTGTGAGTTGAATTCACACATCACAAAGAAGTCTCTGAGATTTCTTCTGTCTGGGTTTATAAGAAGAAATCCCGTTTCCAACGAAGGCCTCAAAGAGTTCCAAATATCCACTTGCAGATTCTACAGAAACAGTGTTTCCAAACTACTCTATCAAGAGCAATGTTCCACTCGGTGACTTGAATGCAGACATCACAAAGGAGTTTCTGAGATTGCTTCTGTCTACCTTTTATGGAAAGATATTCCCTTTTCTACCATAGGCCTGAAAGCGCTCTCAATATACCCTTGCAAATTCTACAAAAAGAGTGTTTCCAAATTGCTCTATCAAGAGAAATCTTTATCTCGGTGAGTTGAAAACACACATCACAAAGAAGACTCTGAGAATTCTTCTGTCTGGGTTTATAATTTGAAAACCCGTTTCCAACGAAGGCCTGAAGGAGGTCCAAATACAAACAAGCTGATTCTACAGAAAGAGTGTTTCCAAACTGCTCTATCAAGAGGAATGTTCCACTCGGTGAGTTGAATGCAGACATCACAAAGGAGTTTCTGAGATTGCTTCTGTCTAGCTTTTATGGAAAGATAATTCCTTTTCTACCATAGGCCTCAAAGCGCTCTTAGTATACACTTCCAAATTCTACAAAGAGAGTGTTACTAAACCGCTCTCTCAAAGGAAATGTTACACTCTGTGAGTTGAACACAGACATCACAAAGCAGTTTCTGAGAACACTTCTGTCTGCCTTTTATGTGAAGACATTCCCTTTTCCAAAGAATGCCTCCAAGGGCTCAAAATATCCACTTGTAGACTTTACAAAGAGAGTGTTTCAAAACTTCTCTACCAAAAGAAAGGTTAAAGACGGTGAGTTCAACGCACACATCACAAAGTTGTTTCTGAGAATGATTCTATCTATGTTTTCCATGAAGATGTTTCCTTTTCTATCATAGGCTTCAAAGTGGTCTAAATATCCACTTGGAAATCCTACAAGAACAGGGTTTCAAAACTTCTCTATCAAACGGAAGACTCCACTCTGTGAGATGAACGCACACATCACAATGAGGTTTCTGAAAATTCTTCTGTCTAGGGTTATAGGAAGAAATCCCGTTTCCAACGAAGGCCTCAAAGAGGTCCAAATATCCACTTGCAGTTTCTACAAAAAGAGTGTTTCAACACTGCTCTATAAAGAGGAAAGTTCCACTCTGTGAGTTGAATGTACACATCACAAAGTAGTTTCTGAGATTGCTTCTGTCTAGGTTTTAGGTGAAGTTATTTCCTTTTCTACTGTGGGCTTCAATGCGCTCTAAATATACACATGCAAATACTACAAAAAGAGTGTTTCAAAACTGCTCTATCAAAAGAAAAGTTTTACTCTGTGGGTTGAACGCACACATCGCAAAGCAGATTCTGAGAATTATTCTGTCTAGTTTTTATAGGAAGATGTTTCTTTTTCTGCCATAGGCTCAATGCGCTATAAATATCCCCTTGGAAATCCTACAAAAACAGTGTTTCAAAACTGCTCTGTGAAAAGGGAGGTTTCACTCTTTGAATTGAATGCACACATCACAAAGGAGTTTCTGAAAATTCTTCAATCTAGAGTTACATGAAGAAATCCCGTTTCCAAAGAAGGCCTCAAATAGGTCCAAATATCCACTTGCAGCTACTACAAGAAGGGTGTTTCAGAAACGCTCTATCAAAAGAAACGTTAAACTCTGTGAGTTGAACGCACACGTCACTAAGCACTTTCTGAGAACGATTCTATCTACTTTTTACATGAAGATGTTTCCTTTTCTAGCAGAGACTTCAAAGTGCTCTAAATATCCACTTGGGAATTCTACAAAAACGGTGTCTCAAAACTGCTCTATCAAACGGAATGTTCCATTCTGTGAGTCGAATGCACACATCCGAAGAAGTTACTGAGAATTCTTCTCTGTAGGTTTAGATGAAGAAATCCCGTTTCCAACGAAGGCCTCTAGGAGGTCCAATTATCCACTTGCAGATTCTACAGAAAGAGTGTTTCAAAACTGCTCTATCAAGAGAAATGGTCCACCGTGTGTGTGGAATGCAGCCATCACACATTAGTTTCTGAGATTGCTTCTGTCTTGGTTTTATGGGGAGATATTTCCATTTCTAGCATAGGCTTCAAGGCGCTCTAAATATCCGCTTGGAAATACTACAAAAACAGTGTTTCAAAACTGCTGTATCCAAAGGAAGGTGCCACTCGCTGAGTTGAATGCACACATCACAAGGAAGTTTCTGAGAATTCTTCTGTCTAGATTCATATGAAGAAATCCCGTTTCCAACGAAGGCCTCAAAGAAGTCCAAATATCCCATTGCAAATTCTACAAAAGGAGTGTTTCCCAACTGCTCTATCAAGAGGAATGTTGCACTCTGTGACTTGCATGCAAACATCACATAGCAGTGTTTGAGAATTCTTCTGTCTAGAGTAACATGAAGAAATCCCGTTTCCAACGAAGGCCTCAAGGCGGTCCAATTATCCACTTGCAGATTCTACAGAAAGAGTGTTTCAAAACTGCTCTATCAAGAGAAATGTTCCACCGTGTGTGTGGAATGCAGCCATCACACAGTAGTTTCTGAGATTGCTTCCGTCTAGTTTTTATGGGAAGATATTTCCTTTTCTACCATAGGCTTCAAGGCGCTCTAATATCCGCTTGGAAATACTACAACCACAGCGTTTCAAACTGCTCTATCCAAAGGAAGGTTCCACTCTGTGACTTGAATGCACACAACCAAAGAAGTTTCGGAGAATTCTTCTGTCTGGATTTATACGAAGAAATCCCGTTTCCAACGAAGACCCAAAGGAGTTCCAAATATCCACTTGCAGATCCTTCAGAAAGAGGGTTTCAAAACTGCTCTATCAAGAGAAATGTTCAACTCTGTGAGTTGAATGCAGACATCACAAAGTCGTTTCTGAGATGGGTTCTGTCTAGGTTTTATGGGAAGATATTTCCTTTTCTACCATACGCTTCAAGGCGTTCCAAATATCCGCTTGGAAATACTACAAAAACAGTGTTTCAAAACTGCTCTATCAAAAGGAAGGATCCACACTGTGAGTTGAATTCACACATCACAAAGAAATCTCTGAGAATTCTTCTGTCTGGGTTTATAGGAAGAAATCCCGTTTCCAACGAAGGCCTCAAAGAGGTCCAAATATCCACTTGCAGATTCTACAGAAACAATGTTTCCAAACTGCTCCGTCAAGAGGAATGTTGCACTCGGTGAGTTGAATGCACACATCACAAAGTAGTTTCTGAGATTGCTTCTGTCTACCTTTTATGGAAAGATATTCCCTTTTCTACCATAGGCCTGAAAGCGCTCTCAATGTACCCTTGCAAATTCTACAAAAAGAGTGTTTCCAAATTGCTCTATCAAGAGAAATCTTTATCTCGGTGAGTTGAAAGCACACATCACAAAGAAGACTCTGAGAATTCTTCTGTATGGGTTTATATGAAAAAAATCCCCTTTCCAAGGAAGGCCTCAAGGAGGTCCAAATATCCACTAGCATATTCTACAGAAAGATTGTTTCCAAACTGCTCTATCAAGAGGAATGTTCCACTTGGTGTGTTGAATGCAGACATCACAAAGGAGTTTCTGAGATTGCTTCTCTCCAGCTTCTATGGAAAGATATTTACTTTTCTACCATAGGTCTCAAAGCGCTCTTAATATACACTTCCAAATTCTACAAAGAGTGTTTTTAAACTGTTATATCAAAGGAAATGTTAAACTCTGTGAGTTGAACGCAGACATCACAAAGCAGTTTCTCAGAACACTTCTGTCTGCCTTTTATGTGAAGACATTCCCTTTTCCAAAGAATGCCTCCAAGGGCTCAAAATATCCACTTGTAGACTTTACAAAGAGAGTGTTTCAAAACTTCTCTACCAAAAGAAAGGATAAAGTCTGTGAGTTCAACGCACACATCACAAAGTTGTTTCTGAGAATGATTCTATCTATGTTTTCCATGAAGATGTTTCCTTTTCTATCATAGGCTTCAAAGTGGTCTAAATATCCACTTGGAAATCCTACAAGAACAGGGTTTCAAAACTTCTCTATCAAACGGAAGACTCCACTCTGTGAGATGAACGCACACATCACAATGAGGTTTCTGAAAATTCTTCTGTCTAGGGTTATAGGAAGAAATCCCGTTTCCAACGAAGGCCTCAAAGCTGGTCCAAATATCCACTTGCAGTTTCTACAAAAAGAGTGTTTCAACACTGCTCTATAAAGAGAAAAGTTCCACTCTGTGAGTTGAATGTACACATCACAAAGTAGTTTCTGAGATTGCTTCTGTCTAGGTTTTAGGTGAAGTTATTTCCTTTTCTACTGTGTGCTTCAATGCGCTCTAAATATACACATGCAAATACTACAAAAAGAGTGTTTCAAAACTGCTCTATCAAAAGAAAAGTTTTACTCTGTGGGTTGAACGCACACATCGCAAAGCAGATTCTGAGAATTATTCTGTCTAGTTTTTATAGGAAGATGTTTCTTTTTCTGCCATAGGCTCAATGCGCTATAAATATCCCCTTGGAAGTCCTACAAAAACAGTGTTTCAAAACTGCTCTGTGAAAAGGGAGGTTTCACTCTTTGAATTGAATGCACACATCACAAAGGAGTTTCTGAAAATTCTTCAATCTAGAGTTACATGAAGAAATCCCGTTTCCAAAGAAGGCCTCAAATAGGTCCAAATATCCACTTGCAGCTACTACAAGAAGGGTGTTTCAGAAACGCTCTATCAAAAGAAACGTTAAACTCTGTGAGTTGAACGCACACGTCACTAAGCACTTTCTGAGAACGATTCTATCTACTTTTTACATGAAGATGTTTCCTTTTCTAGCAGAGACTTCAAAGTGCTCTAAATATCCACTTGGGAATTCTACAAAAACGGTGTCTCAAAACTGCTCTATCAAAGGGAATGTTCCATTCTGTGAGTCGAATGCACACATCCGAAGAAGTTACTGAGAATTCTTCTCTGTAGGTTTAGATGAAGAAATCCCGTTTCCAACGAAGGCCTCTAGGAGGTCCAATTATCCACTTGCAGATTCTACAGAAAGAGTGTTTCAAAACTGCTCTATCAAGAGAAATGGTCCACCGTGTGTGTGGAATGCAGCCATCACACATTAGTTTCTGAGATTGTTTCTGTCTTGGTTTTATGGGGAGATATTTCCATTTCTAGCATAGGCTTCAAGGCGCTCTAAATATCCGCTTGGAAATACTACAAAAACAGTGTTTCAAAACTGCTGTATCCAAAGGAAGGTGCCACTCGCTGAGTTGAATACACACATCACAAGGAAGTTTCTGAGAATTCTTCTGTCTAGATTCATACGAAGAAATCCCGTTTCCAACGAAGGCCTCAAAGAAGTCCAAATATCCCATTGCAAATTCTACAAAAGGAGTGTTTCCCAACTGCTCTATCAAGAGGAATGTTGCACTCTGTGACTTGCATGCAAACATCACACAGCAGTGTTTGAGAATTCTTCTATCTAGAGTAACATGAAGAAATCCCGTTTCCAACGAAGGCCTCAAGGCGGTCCAATTATCCACTTGCAGATTCTACAGAAAGAGTGTTTCAAAACTGCTCTATCAAGAGAAATGTTCCACCGTGTGTGTGGAATGCAGCCGTCACACAGTAGTTTCTGAGATTGCTTCCGTCTAGGTTTTATGGGAAGATATTTCCTTTTCTACCATAGGCTTCAAGGCGCTCTAATATCCGCTTGGAAATACTACAACCACAGCGTTTCAAACTGCTCTATCCAAAGGAAGGTTCCACTCTGTGACTTGAATGCACACAACCAAAGAAGTTTCGGAGAATTCTTCTGTCTGGATTTATACGAAGAAATCCCGTTTCCAACGAAGACCCAAAGGAGTTCCAAATATCCACTTGCAGATCCTTCAGAAAGAGGGTTTCAAAACTGCTCTATCAAGAGAAATGTTCAACTCTGTGAGTTGAATGCAGACATCACAAAGTCGTTTCTGAGATGGGTTCTGTCTAGGTTTTATGGGAAGATATTTCCTTTTCTACCATACGCTTCAAGGCGTTCCAAATATCCGCTTGGAAATACTACAAAAACAGTGTTTCAAAACTGCTCTATCAAAAGGAAGGATCCACACTGTGAGTTGAATTCACACATCACAAAGAAATCTCTGAGAATTCTCTGTCTGGGTTTATAGGAAGAGATCCCGTTTCCAACGAAGGCCTCAAAGCGGTCCATATATCCACTTGCAGATTCTACAGAAACAATGTTTCCAAACTGCTCTATCAAGACGAATGTTGCACTCGGTGAGTTGAATGCACACATCACAAAGTAGTTTCTGAGATTGCTTCTGTCTACCTTTTATGGAAAGATATTCCCTTTTCTACCATAGGCCTGAAAGCGCTCTCAATGTACCCTTGCAAATTCTACAAAAAGAGTGTTTCCAAATTGCTCTATCAAGAGAAATCTTTATCTCGGTGAGTTGAAAGCACACATCACAAAGAAGACTCTGAGAATTCTTCTGTCTGGGTTTATAAGATGAAAACCCGTTTCCAACGAAGGCCTCAAGGAGGTCCAAATACAAACAAGCTGATTCTACAGAAAGAGTGTTTCCAAACTGCTCTATCAAGAGGAATGTTCCACTCGGTGAGTTGAATGCAGACATCACAAAGGAGTTTCTGAGATTGCTTCTGTCTAGCTTTTATGGAAAGATATTTCCTTTTCTACCATAGGCCTCAAAGCGCTCTTAGTATACACTTCCAAATTCTACAAAGAGAGTGTTACTAAACCGCTCTCTCAAAGGAAATGTTAAACTCTGTGAGTTGAACACAGACATCACAAAGCAGTTTCTGAGAACACTTCTGTCTGCCTTTTATGTGAAGACATTCCCTTTTCCAAAGAATGCCTCCAAGGGCTCAAAATATCCACTTGTAGACTTTACAAAGAGAGTGTTTCAAAACTTCTCTACCAAAAGAAAGGTTAAAGACGGTGAGTTCAACGCACACATCACAAAGTTGTTTCTGAGAATGATTCTATCTATGTTTTCCATGAAGATGTTTCCTTTTCTATCATAGGCTTCAAAGTGGTCTAAATATCCACTTGGAAATCCTACAAGAACAGGGTTTCAAAACTTCTCTATCAAACGGAAGACTCCACTCTGTGAGATGAACGCACACATCACAATGAGGTTTCTGAAAATTCTTCTGTCTAGGGTTATAGGAAGAAATCCCGTTTCCAACGAAGGCCTCAAAGAGGTCCAAATATCCACTTGCAGTTTCTACAAAAAGAGTGTTTCAACACTGCTCTATAAAGAGAAAAGTTCCACTCTGTGAGTTGAATGTACACATCACAAAGTAGTTTCTGAGATTGCTTCTGTCTAGGTTTTAGGTGAAGTTATTTCCTTTTCTACTGTGGGCTTCAATGCGCTCTAAATATACACATGCAAATACTACAAAAAGAGTGTTTCAAAACTGCTCTATCAAAAGAAAAGTTTTACTCTGTGGGTTGAACGCACACATCGCAAAGCAGATTCTGAGAATTATTCTGTCTAGTTTTTATAGGAAGATGTTTCTTTTTCTGCCGTAGGCTCTATGTGCTATAAATATCCCCTTGGAAATCCCACAAAAACAGTGTTTCAAAACTGCTCTGTGAAAAGGGACGTTTCACTCTGTGAATTGAATGCACACATCACAAAGGAGTTTCTGAAAATTCTTCAATCTAGAGTTACATGAAGAAATCCCGTTTCCAAAGAAGGCCTCAAATAGGTCCAAATATCCACTTGCAGCTACTACAAGAGGGGTGTTTCAGAAACGCTCTATCAAAAGAAACGTTAAACTCTGTGAGTTGAACACACACGTCACTAAGCACTTTCTGAGAACGATTCTATCTACTTTTTACATGAAGATGTTTCCTTTTCTAGCAGAGACTTCAAAGTGCTCTAAATATCCACTTGGGAATTCTACAAAAACGGTGTCTCAAAACTGCTCTATCAAACGGAATGTTCCATTCTGTGAGTCGAATGCACACATCCGAAGAAGTTACTGAGAATTCTTCTCTGTAGGTTTAGATGAAGAAATCCCGTTTCCAACGAAGGCCTCTAGGAGGTCCAATTATCCACTTGCAGATTCTACAGAAAGAGTGTTTCAAAACTGCTCTATCAAGAGAAATGGTCCACCGTGTGTGTGGAATGCAGCCATCACACATTAGTTTCTGAGATTGCTTCTGTCTTGGTTTTATGGGGAGATATTTCCATTTCTAGCATAGGCTTCAAGGCGCTCTAAATATCCGCTTGGAAATAGTACAAAAACAGTGTTTCAAAACTGCTGTATCCAAAGGAAGGTGCCACTCGCTGAGTTGAATGCACACATCACAAGGAAGTTTCTGAGAATTCTTCTGTCTGGGTTTATAGGAAGAAATCCCGTTTCCAACGAAGGCCTCAAAGAGGTCCAAATATCCCATTGCAAATTCTACAAAAGGAGTGTTTCCCAACTGCTCTATCAAGAGGAATGTTGCACACTGTGACTTGAATGCAAACATCACATAGTAGTGTTTGAGAACTCTTCTGTCTAGAGTAACATGAAGAAATCCCGTTTCCAACGAAGGCCTCAAGGCGGTCCAATTATCCACTTGCAGATTCTACAGAAAGAGTGTTTCAAAACTGCTCTATCAAGAGAAATGTTCCACCGTGTGTGTTGAATGCAGCCATCACACAGTAGTTTCTGAGATTGCTTCCGTCTAGGTTTTATGGGAAGATATTTCCTTTTCTACCATAGGCCTCAAGGCGCTCTAATATCCGCTTGGAAATACTACAACCACAGCGTTTCAAACTGCTCTATCCAAAGGAAGGTTCCACTCTGTGACTTGAATGCACACAACCAAAGAAGTTTCGGAGAATTCTTCTGTCTAGATTTATACGAAGAAATCCCGTTTCCAACGAAGACCCAAAGGAGTTCCAAATATCCACTTGCAGATCCTTCAGAAAGAGGGTTTCAAAACTGCTCTATCAAGAGAAATGTTCAACTCTGTGAGTTGAATGCAGACATCACAAAGTCGTTTCTGAGATTGGTTCTGTCTAGGTTTTATGGGAAGATATTTCCTTTTCTACCATACGCTTCAAGGCGTTCCAAATATCCGCTTGGAAATACTACAAAAACAGTGTTTCAAAACTGCTCTATCAAAAGGAAGGATCCACACTGTGAGTTGAATTCACACATCACAAAGAAATCTCTGAGAATTCTTCTGTCTGGGTTTATAGGAAGAAATCCCATTTCCAACGAAGGCCTCAAAGAGGTACAAATATCCACTTGCAGATTCTACAGAAACAATGTTTCCAAACTGCTCGGTCAAGAGGAACGTTGCACTCGGTGAGTTGAATGCACACATCACAAAGTAGTTTCTGAGATTGCTTCTGTCTACCTTTGATGGAAAGATATTCCCTTTTCTACCATAGGCCTGAAAGCGCTCTCAATGTACCCTTGCAAATTCTACAAAAAGAGTGTTTCCAAATTGCTCTATCAAGAGAAATCTTTATCTCGGTGAGTTGAAAGCACACATCACAAAGAAGACTCTGAGAATTCTTCTGTCTGGGTTTATAAGATGAAAACCCGTTTCCAACGAAGGCCTCAAGGAGGTCCAAATACAAACAAGCTGATTCTACAGAAAGAGTGTTTCCAAACTGCTCTATCAAGAGGAATGTTCCACTCGGTGAGTTGAATGCAGACATCACAAAGGAGTTTCTGAGATTGCTTCTGTCTAGCTTTTATGGAAAGATATTTCCTTTTCTACCATAGGCCTCAAAGCGCTCTTAGTATACACTTCCAAATTCTACAAAGAGAGTGTTACTAAACCGCTCTCTCAAAGGAAATGTTAAACTCTGTGAGTTGAACACAGACATCACAAAGCAGTTTCTGAGAACACTTCTGTCTGCCTTTTACGTGAAGACATTCCCTTTTCCAAAGAATGCCTCCAAGGGCTCAAAATATCCAATTGTAGACTTTACAAAGAGAGTGTTTCAAACCTTCTCTACCAAAGAAAGGTTAAAGACGGCGAGTTCAACGCACACATCACAAAGTTGTTTCTGAGAATGATTCTATCTATGTTTTCCATGAAGATGTTTCCTTTTCTATCATAGGCTTCAAAGTGGTCTAAATATCCACTTGGAAATCCTACAAGAACAGGGTTTCAAAACTTCTCTATCAAACGGAAGACTCCACTCTGTGAGATGAACGCACACATCACAATGAGGTTTCTGAAAATTCTTCTGTCTAGGGTTATAGGAAGAAATCCCGTTTCCAACGAGGACCTCAAAGAGGTCCAAATATCCACTTGCAGTTTCTACAAAAAGAGTGTTTCAACACTGCTCTATAAAGAGGAAAGTTCCACTCTGTGAGTTGAATGTACACATCACAAAGTAGTTTCTGAGATTGCTTCTGTCTAGGTTTTAGGTGAAGTTATTTCCTTTTCTACTGTGGGCTTCAATGCGCTCTAAATATACACATGCAAATACTACAAAAAGAGTGTTTCAAAACTGCTCTATCAAAAGAAAAGTTTTACTCTGTGAGTTGAACGCACACATGGCAAAGCAGATTCTGAGAATTATTCTGTCTAGTTTTTATAGGAAGATGTTTCTTTTTCTGCCGTAGGCTCAATGCGCTATAAATATCCCCTTGGAAATCCTACAAAAACAGTGTTTCAAAACTGCTCTGTGAAAAGGGAGGTTTCACTATTTGAAATGAATGCACACATCACGAAGGAGTTTCTGAGAATTCTTCAATCTAGAGTTACATGAAGAAATCCCGTTTCCAAAGAAGGCCTCAAATAGGTCCAAATATCCACTTGCAGCTACTACAAGAAGTGTGTTTCAGGAACGCTCTATCAAAAGAAACGTTACACTCTGTGAGTTGAACGCACACGTCACTAAGCACTTTCTGAGAACGATTCTATCTACTTTTTACATGAAGATGTTTCCTTTTCTAGCAGAGACTTCAAAGTGCTCTAAATATCCACTTGGGAATTCTACAAAAACGGTGTCTCAAAACTGCTCTATCAAACGGAATGTTCCATTCTGTGAGTCGAATGCACACATCCGAAGAAGTTACTGAGAATTCTTCTCTGTAGGTTTAGATGAAGAAATCCCGTTTCCAACGAAGGCCTCTAGGAGGTCCAATTATCCACTTGCAGATTCTACAGAAAGAGTGTTTCAAAACTGCTCTATCAAGAGAAATGGTCCACCGTGTGTGTGGAATGCAGCCATCACACATTAGTTTCTGAGATTGCTTCTGTCTTGGTTTTATGGGGAGATATTTCCATTTCTAGCATAGGCTTCAAGGCGCTCTAAATATCCGCTTGGAAATACTACAAAAACAGTGTTTCAAAACTGCTGTATCCAAAGGAAGGTGCCACTCGCTGAGTTGAATACACACATCACAAGGAAGTTTCTGAGAATTCTTCTGTCTAGATTCATACGAAGAAATCCCGTTTCCAACGAAGGCCTCAAAGAAGTCCAAATATCCCATTGCAAATTCTACAAAAGGAGTGTTTCCCAACTGCTCTATCAAGAGGAATGTTGCACTCTGTGACTTGAATGCAAACATCACATAGCAGTGTTTGAGAATTCTTCTGTCTAGAGTAACATGAAGAAATCCCGTTTCCAACGAAGGCCTCAAGGCGGTCCAATTATCCACTTGCAGATTCTACAGAAAGAGTGTTTCAAAACTGCTCTATCAAGAGAAATGTTCCACCGTGTGTGTGGAATGCAGCCATCACACAGTAGTTTCTGAGATTGCTTCCGTCTAGGTTTTATGGGAAGATATTTCCTTTTCTACCATAGGCCTCAAGGCGCTCTAATATCCGCTTGGAAATACTACAACCACAGCGTTTCAAACTGCTCTATCCAAAGGAAGGTTCCACTCTGTGACTTGAATGCACACAACCAAAGAAGTTTCGGAGAATTCTTCTGTCTGGATTTATACGAAGAAATCCCGTTTCCAACGAAGACCCAAAGGAGTTCCAAATATCCACTTGCAGATCCTTCAGAAAGAGGGTTTCAAAACTGCTCTATCAAGAGAAATGTTCAACTCTGTGAGTTGAATGCAGACATCACAAAGTCGTTTCTGAGATTGGTTCTGTCTAGGTTTTATGGGAAGATATTTCCTTTTCTACCATACGCTTCAAGGCGTTCCAAATATCCGCTTGGAAATACTACAAAAACAGTGTTTCAAAACTGCTCTATCAAAAGGAAGGATCCACACTGTGAGTTGAATTCACACATCACAAAGAAATCTCTGAGAATTCTTCTGTCTGGGTTTATAGGAAGAAATCCCGTTTCCAACGAAGGCCTCAAAGAGGTCCAAATATCCACTTGCAGATTCTACAGAAACAATGTTTCCAAACTGCTCGGTCAAGAGGAATGTTGCACTCGGTGAGTTGAATGCACACATCACAAAGTAGTTTCTGAGATTGCTTCTGTCTACCTTTTATGGAAAGATATTCCCTTTTCTACCATAGGCCTGAAAGCGCTCTCAATGTACCCTTGCAAATTCTACAAAAAGAGTGTTTCCAAATTGCTCTATCAAGAGAAATCTTTATCTCGGTGAGTTGAAAGCACACATCACAAAGAAGACTCTGAGAATTCTTCTGTCTGGGTTTATAAGATGAAAACCCGTTTCCAACGAAGGCCTCAAGGAGGTCCAAATACAAACAAGCTGATTCTACAGAAAGAGTGTTTCCAAACTGCTCTATCAAGAGGAATGTTCCACTCGGTGAGTTGAATGCAGACATCACAAAGGAGTTTCTGAGATTGCTTCTGTCTAGCTTTTATGGAAAGATATTTCCTTTTCTACCATAGGCCTCAAAGCGCTCTTAGTATACACTTCCAAATTCTACAAAGAGAGTGTTACTAAACCGCTCTCTCAAAGGAAATGTTAAACTCTGTGAGTTGAACACAGACATCACAAAGCAGTTTCTGAGAACACTTCTGTCTGCCTTTTATGTGAAGACATTCCCTTTTCCAAAGAATGCCTCCAAGGGCTCAAAATATCCACTTGTAGACTTTACAAAGAGAGTGTTTCAAAACTTCTCTACCAAAAGAAAGGTTAAAGACGGTGAGTTCAACGCACACATCACAAAGTTGTTTCTGAGAATGATTCTATCTATGTTTTCCATGAAGATGTTTCCTTTTCTATCATAGGCTTCAAAGTGGTCTAAATATCCACTTGGAAATCCTACAAGAACAGGGTTTCAAAACTTCTCTATCAAACGGAAGACTCCACTCTGTGAGATGAACGCACACATCACAATGAGGTTTCTGAAAATTCTTCTGTCTAGGGTTATAGGAAGAAATCCCGTTTCCAACGAGGACCTCAAAGAGGTCCACATATCCACTTGCAGTTTCTACAAAAAGAGTGTTTCAACACTGCTTTATAAAGAGGAAAGTTCCACTCTGTGAGTTGAATGTACACATCACAAAGTAGTTTCTGAGATTGCTTCTGTCTAGGTTTTAGGTGAAGTTATTTCCTTTTCTACTGTGGGCTTCAATGCGCTCTAAATATACACATGCAAATACTACAAAAAGAGTGTTTCAAAACTGCTCTATCAAAAGAAAAGTTTTACTCTGTGAGTTGAACGCACACATGGCAAAGCAGATTCTGAGAATTATTCTGTCTAGTTTTTATAGGAAGATGTTTCTTTTTCTGCCGTAGGCTCAATGCGCTATAAATATCCCCTTGGAAATCCTACAAAAACAGTGTTTCAAAACTGCTCTGTGAAAAGGGAGGTTTCACTCTTTGAATTGAATGCACACATCACAAAGGAGTTTCTGAAAATTCTTCAATCTAGAGTTACATGAAGAAATCCCGTTTCCAAAGAAGGCCTCAAATAGGTCCAAATATCCACTTGCAGCTACTACAAGAAGGGTGTTTCAGAAACGCTCTATCAAAAGAAACGTTAAACTCTGTGAGTTGAACGCACACGTCACTAAGCACTTTCTGAGAACGATTCTATCTACTTTTTACATGAAGATGTTTCCTTTTCTAGCAGAGACTTCAAAGTGCTCTAAATATCCACTTGGGAATTCTACAAAAACGGTGTCTCAAAACTGCTCTATCAAACGGAATGTTCCATTCTGTGAGTCGAATGCACACATCCGAAGAAGTTACTGAGAATTCTTCTCTGTAGGTTTAGATGAAGAAATCCCGTTTCCAACGAAGGCCTCTAGGAGGTCCAATTATCCACTTGCAGATTCTACAGAAAGAGTGTTTCAAAACTGCTCTATCAAGAGAAATGGTCCACCGTGTGTGTGGAATGCAGCCATCACACATTAGTTTCTGAGATTGCTTCTGTCTTGGTTTTATGGGGAGATATTTCCATTTCTAGCATAGGCTTCAAGGCGCTCTAAATATCCGCTTGGAAATAGTACAAAAACAGTGTTTCAAAACTGCTGTATCCAAAGGAAGGTGCCACTCGCTGAGTTGAATGCACACATCACAAGGAAGTTTCTGAGAATTCTTCTGTCTAGATTCATACGAAGAAATCCCGTTTCCAACGAAGGCCTCAAAGAAGTCCAAATATCCCATTGCAAATTCTACAAAAGGAGTGTTTCCCAACTGCTCTATCAAGAGGAATGTTGCACTCTGTGACTTGCATGCAAACATCACACAGCAGTGTTTGAGAATTCTTCTGTCTAGAGTAACATGAAGAAATCCCGTTTCCAACGAAGGCCTCAAGGCGGTCCAATTATCCACTTGCAGATTCTACAGAAAGAGTGTTTCAAAACTGCTCTATCAAGAGAAATGTTCCACCGTGTGTGTGGAATGCAGCCATCACACAGTAGTTTCTGAGATTGCTTCCGTCTAGGTTTTATGGGAAGATATTTCCTTTTCTACCATAGGCCTCAAGGCGCTCTAATATCCGCTTGGAAATACTACAACCACAGCGTTTCAAACTGCTCTATCCAAAGGAAGGTTCCACTCTGTGACTTGAATGCACACAACCAAAGAAGTTTCGGAGAATTCTTCTGTCTGGATTTATACGAAGAAATCCCGTTTCCAACGAAGACCCAAAGGAGTTCCAAATATCCACTTGCAGATCCTTCAGAAAGAGGGTTTCAAAACTGCTCTATCAAGAGAAATGTTCAACTCTGTGAGTTGAATGCAGACATCACAAAGTCGTTTCTGAGATGGGTTCTGTCTAGGTTTTATGGGAAGATATTTCCTTTTCTACCATACGCTTCAAGGCGTTCCAAATATCCGCTTGGAAATACTACAAAAACGGTGTTTCAAAACTGCTCTATCAAAAGGAAGGATCCACACTGTGAGTTGAATTCACACATCACAAAGAAATCTCTGAGAATTCTTCTGTCTGGGTTTATAGGAAGAAATCCCGTTTCCAACGAAGGCCTCAAAGCGGTCCATATATCCACTTGCAGATTCTACAGAAACAATGTTTCCAAACTGCTCTATCAAGAGGAATGTTGCACTCGGTGAGTTGAATGCACACATCACAAAGTAGTTTCTGAGATTGCTTCTGTCTACCTTTTATGGAAAGATATTCCCTTTTCTACCATAGGCCTGAAAGCGCTCTCAATGTACCCTTGCAAATTCTACAAAAAGAGTGTTTCCAAATTGCTCTATCAAGAGAAATCTTTATCTCGGTGAGTTGAAAGCACACATCACAAAGAAGACTCTGAGAATTCTTCTGTCTGGGTTTATAAGATGAAAACCCGTTTCCAACGAAGGCCTCAAGGAGGTCCAAATACAAACAAGCTGATTCTACAGAAAGAGTGTTTCCAAACTGCTCTATCAAGAGGAATGTTCCACTCGGTGAGTTGAATGCAGACATCACAAAGGAGTTTCTGAGATTGCTTCTGTCTAGCTTTTATGGAAAGATATTTCCTTTTCTACCATAGGCCTCAAAGCGCTCTTAGTATACACTTCCAAATTCTACAAAGAGAGTGTTACTAAACCGCTCTCTCAAAGGAAATGTTACACTCTTGTGAGTTGAACACAGACATCACAAAGCAGTTTCTGAGAACACTTCTGTCTGCCTTTTATGTGAAGACATTCCCTTTTCCAAAGAATGCCTCCAAGGGCTCAAAATATCCACTTGTAGACTTTACAAAGAGAGTGTTTCAAAACTTCTCTACCAAAAGAAAGGTTAAAGACGGTGAGTTCAACGCACACATCACAAAGTTGTTTCTGAGAATGATTCTATCTATGTTTTCCATGAAGATGTTTCCTTTTCTATCATAGGCTTCAAAGTGGTCTAAATATCCACTTGGAAATCCTACAAGAACAGGGTTTCAAAACTTCTCTATCAAACGGAAGACTCCACTCTGTGAGATGAACGCACACATCACAATGAGGTTTCTGAAAATTCTTCTGTCTAGGGTTATAGGAAGAAATCCCGTTTCCAACGAAGGCCTCAAAGAGGTCCAAATATCCACTTGCAGTTTCTACAAAAAGAGTGTTTCAACACTGCTCTATAAAGAGGAAAGTTCCACTCTGTGAGTAGAATGTACACATCACAAAGTAGTTTCTGAGATTGCTTCTGTCTAGGTTTTAGGTGAAGTTATTTCCTTTTCTACTGTGGGCTTCAATGCGCTCTAAATATACACATGCAAATACTACAAAAAGAGTGTTTCAAAACTGCTCTATCAAAAGAAAAGTTTTACTCTGTGGGTTGAACGCACACATCGCAAAGCAGATTCTGAGAATTATTCTGTCTAGTTTTTATAGGAAGATGTTTCTTTTTCTGCCGTAGGCTCAATGCGCTATAAATATCCCCTTGGAAATCCTACAAAAACAGTGTTTCAAAACTGCTCTGTGAAAAGGGAGGTTTCACTCTTTGAATTGAATGCACACATCACAAAGGAGTTTCTGAAAATTCTTCAAACTAGAGTTACATGAAGAAATCCCGTTTCCAAAGAAGGCCTCAAATAGGTCCAAATATCCACTTGCAGCTACTACAAGCAGGGTGTTTCAGAAACGCTCTATCAAAAGAAACGTTAAACTCTGTGAGTTGAACACACACGTCACTAAGCACTTTCTGAGAACGATTCTATCTACTTTTTACATGAAGATGTTTCCTTTTCTAGCAGAGACTTCAAAGTGCTCTAAATATCCACTTGGGAATTCTACAAAAACGGTGTCTCAAAACTGCTCTATCAAACGGAATGTTCCATTCTGTGAGTCGAATGCACACATCCGAAGAAGTTACTGAGAATTCTTCTCTGTAGGTTTAGATGAAGAAATCCCGTTTCCAACGAAGGCCTCTAGGAGGTCCAATTATCCACTTGCAGATTCTACAGAAAGAGTGTTTCAAAACTGCTCTATCAAGAGAAATGGTCCACCGTGTGTGTGGAATGCAGCCATCACACATTAGTTTCTGAGATTGCTTCTGTCTTGGTTTTATGGGGAGATATTTCCATTTCTAGCATAGGCTTCAAGGCGCTCTAAATATCCGCTTGGAAATACTACAAAAACAGTGTTTCAAAACTGCTGTATCCAAAGGAAGGTGCCACTCGCTGAGTTGAATGCACACATCACAAGGAAGTTTCTGAGAATTCTTCTGTCTAGATTCATACGAAGAAATCCCGTTTCCAACGAAGGCCTCAAAGAAGTCCAAATATCCCATTGCAAATTCTACAAAAGGAGTGTTTCCCAACTGCTCTATCAAGAGGAATGTTGCACTCTGTGACTTGAATGCAAACATCACATAGCAGTGTTTGAGAATTCTTCTGTCTAGAGTAACATGAAGAAATCCCGTTTCCAACGAAGGCCTCAAGGCGGTCCAATTATCCACTTGCAGATTCTACAGAAAGAGTGTTTCAAAACTGCTCTATCAAGAGAAATGTTCCACCGTGTGTGTGGAATGCAGCCATCACACAGTAGTTTCTGAGATTGCTTCCGTCTAGGTTTTATGGGAAGATATTTCCTTTTCTACCATAGGCTTCAAGGCGCTCTAATATCCGCTTGGAAATACTACAACCACAGCGTTTCAAACTGCTCTATCCAAAGGAAGGTTCCACTCTGTGACTTGAATGCACACAACCAAAGAAGTTTCGGAGAATTCTTCTGTCTGGATATATACGAAGAAATCCCGTTTCCAACGAAGACCCAAAGGAGTTCCAAATATCCACTTGCAGATCCTTCAGAAAGAGGGTTTCAAAACTGCTCTATCAAGAGAAATGTTCATCTCTGTGAGTTGAATGCAGACATCACAAAGTCGTTTCTGAGATTGGTTCTGTCTAGGTTTTATGGGAAGATATTTCCTTTTCTACCATACGCTTCAAGGCGTTCCAAATATCCGCTTGGAAATACTACAAAAACAGTGTTTCAAAACTGCTCTATCAAAAGGAGGGATCCACACTGTGAGTTGAATTCACACATCACAAAGAAGTCTCTGAGAATTCTTCTGTCTGGGTTTATAGGAAGAAATCCCGTTTCCAACGAAGGCCTCAAAGCGGTCCATATATCCACTTGCAGATTCTACAGAAACAATGTTTCCAAACTGCTCTATCAAGAGGAATGTTGCACTCGGTGAGTTGAATGCACACATCACAAAGTAGTTTCTGAGATTGCTTCTGTCTACCTTTTATGGAAAGATATTCCCTTTTCTACCATAGGCCTGAAAGCGCTCTCAATGTACCCTTGCAAATTCTACAAAAAGAGTGTTTCCAAATTGCTCTATCAAGAGAAATCTTTATCTCGGTGAGTTGAAAGCACACATCACAAAGAAGACTCTGAGAATTCTTCTGTCTGGGTTTATAAGATGAAAACCCGTTTCCAACGAAGGCCTCAAGGAGGTCCAAATACAAACAAGCTGATTCTACAGAAAGAGTGTTTCCAAACTGCTCTATCAAGAGGAATGTTCCACTCGGTGAGTTGAATGCAGACATCACAAAGGAGTTTCTGAGATTGCTTCTGTCTAGCTTTTATGGAAAGATATTTCCTTTTCTACCATAGGCCTCAAAGCGCTCTTAGTATACACTTCCAAATTCTACAAAGAGAGTGTTACTAAACCGCTCTCTCAAAGGAAATGTTAAACTCTGTGAGTTGAACACAGACATCACAAAGCAGTTTCTGAGAACACTTCTGTCTGCCTTTTATGTGAAGACATTCCCTTTTCCAAAGAATGCCTCCAAGGGCTCAAAATATCCACTTGTAGACTTTACAAAGAGAGTGTTTCAAAACTTCTCTACCAAAAGAAAGGTTAAAGACGGTGAGTTCAACGCACACATCACAAAGTTGTTTCTGAGAATGATTCTATCTATGTTTTCCATGAAGATGTTTCCTTTTCTATCATAGGCTTCAAAGTGGTCTAAATATCCACTTGGAAATCCTACAAGAACAGGGTTTCAAAACTTCTCTATCAAACGGAAGACTCCACTCTGTGAGATGAACGCACACATCACAATGAGGTTTCTGAAAATTCTTCTGTCTAGGGTTATAGGAAGAAATCCCGTTTCCAACGAAGGCCTCAAAGAGGTCCAAATATCCACTTGCAGTTTCTACAAAAAGAGTGTTTCAACACTGCTCTATAAAGAGGAAAGTTCCACTCTGTGAGTTGAATGTACACATCACAAAGTAGTTTCTGAGATTGCTTCTGTCTAGGTTTTAGGTGAAGTTATTTCCTTTTCTACTGTGGGCTTCAATGCGCTCTAAATATACACATGCAAATACTACGAAAAGAGTGTTTCAAAACTGCTCTATCAAAAGAAAAGTTTTACTCTGTGGGTTGAACGCACACATCGCAAAGCAGATTCTGAGAATTATTCTGTCTAGTTTTTATAGGAAGATGTTTCTTTTTCTGCCGTAGGCTCAATGCGCTATAAATATCCCCTTGGAAATCCTACAAAAACAGTGTTTCAAAACTGCTCTGTGAAAAGGGAGGTTTCACTCTTTGAATTGAATGCACACATCACAAAGGAGTTTCTGAAAATTCTTCAAACTAGAGTTACATGAAGAAATCCCGTTTCCAAAGAAGGCCTCAAATAGGTCCAAATATCCACTTGCAGCTACTACAAGAAGGGTGTTTCAGAAACGCTCTATCAAAAGAAACCGTTAAACTCTGTGAGTTGAACACACACGTCACTAAGCACTTTCTGAGAACGATTCTATCTACTTTTTACATGAAGATGTTTCCTTTTCTAGCAGAGACTTCAAAGTGCTCTAAATATCCACTTGGGAATTCTACAAAAACGGTGTCTCAAAACTGCTCTATCAAAGGGAATGTTCCATTCTGTGAGTCGAATGCACACATCCGAAGAAGTTACTGAGAATTCTTCTCTGTAGGTTTAGATGAAGAAATCCCGTTTCCAACGAAGGCCTCTAGGAGGTCCAATTATCCACTTGCAGATTCTACAGAAAGAGTGTTTCAAAACTGCTCTATCAAGAGAAATGGTCCACCGTGTGTGTGGAATGCAGCCATCACACATTAGTTTCTGAGATTGCTTCTGTCTTGGTTTTATGGGGAGATATTTCCATTTCTAGCATAGGCTTCAAGGCGCTCTAAATATCCGCTTGGAAATACTACAAAAACAGTGTTTCAAAACTGCTGTATCCAAAGGAAGGTGCCACTCGCTGAGTTGAATGCACACATCACAAGGAAGTTTCTGAGAATTCTTCTGTCTAGATTCATACGAAGAAATCCCGTTTCCAACGAAGGCCTCAAAGAAGTCCAAATATCCCATTGCAAATTCTACAAAAGGAGTGTTTCCCAACTGCTCTATCAAGAGGAATGTTGCACTCTGTGACTTGCATGCAAACATCACACAGCAGTGTTTGAGAATTCTTCTGTCTAGAGTAACATGAAGAAATCCCGTTTCCAACGAAGGCCTCAAGGCGGTCCAATTATCCACTTGCAGATTCTACAGAAAGAGTGTTTCAAAACTGCTCTATCAAGAGAAATGTTCCACCGTGTGTGTGGAATGCAGCCATCACACAGTAGTTTCTGAGATTGCTTCCGTCTAGGTTTTATGGGAAGATATTTCCTTTTCTACCATAGGCCTCAAGGCGCTCTAATATCCGCTTGGAAATACTACAACCACAGCGTTTCAAACTGCTCTATCCAAAGGAAGGTTCCACTCTGTGACTTGAATGCACACAACCAAAGAAGTTTCGGAGAATTCTTCTGTCTGGATTTATACGAAGAAATCCCGTTTCCAACGAAGACCCAAAGGAGTTCCAAATATCCACTTGCAGATCCTTCAGAAAGAGGGTTTCAAAACTGCTCTATCAAGAGAAATGTTCAACTCTGTGAGTTGAATGCAGACATCACAAAGTCGTTTCTGAGATGGGTTCTGTCTAGGTTTTATGGGAAGATATTTCCTTTTCTACCATACGCTTCAAGGCGTTCCAAATATCCGCTTGGAAATACTACAAAAACAGTGTTTCAAAACTGCTCTATCAAAAGGAAGGATCCACACTGTGAGTTGAATTCACACATCACAAAGAAGTCTCTGAGAATTCTTCTGTCTGGGTTTATAGGAAGAAATCCCGTTTCCAACGAAGGCCTCAAAGAGGTCCAAATATCCACTTGCAGATTCTACAGAAACAATGTTTCCAAACTGCTCGGTCAAGAGGAATGTTGCACTCGGTGAGTTGAATGCACACATCACAAAGTAGTTTCTGAGATTGCTTCTGTCTACCTTTTATGGAAAGATATTCCCTTTTCTACCATAGGCCTGAAAGCGCTCTCAATGTACCCTTGCAAATTCTACAAAAAGAGTGTTTCCAAATTGCTCTATCAAGAGAAATCTTTATCTCGGTGAGTTGAAAGCACACATCACAAAGAAGACTCTGAGAATTCTTCTGTCTGGGTTTATAAGATGAAAACCCGTTTCCAACGAAGGCCTCAAGGAGGTCCAAATACAAACAAGCTGATTCTACAGAAAGAGTGTTTCCAAACTGCTCTATCAAGAGGAATGTTCCACTCGGTGAGTTGAATGCAGACATCACAAAGGAGTTTCTGAGATTGCTTCTGTCTAGCTTTTATGGAAAGATATTCCCTTTTCTACCATAGGCCTCAAAGCGCTCTTAGTATACACTTCCAAATTCTACAAAGAGAGTGTTACTAAACCGCTCTCTCAAAGGAAATGTTAAACTCTGTGAGTTGAACACAGACATCACAAAGCAGTTTCTGAGAACACTTCTGTCTGCCTTTTATGTGAAGACATTCCCTTTTCCAAAGAATGCCTCCAAGGGCTCAAAATATCCACTTGTAGACTTTACAAAGTGAGTGTTTCAAAACTTCTCTACCAAAAGAAAGGTTAAAGACGGTGAGTTCAACGCACACATCACAAAGTTGTTTCTGAGAATGATTCTATCTATGTTTTCCATGAAGATGTTTCCTTTTCTATCATAGGCTTCAAAGTGGTCTAAATATCCACTTGGAAATCCTACAAGAACAGGGTTTCAAAACTTCTCTATCAAACGGAAGACTCCACTCTGTGAGATGAACGCACACATCACAATGAGGTTTCTGAAAATTCTTCTGTCTAGGGTTATAGGAAGAAATCCCGTTTCCAACGAAGGCCTCAAAGAGGTCCAAATATCCACTTGCAGTTTCTACAAAAAGAGTGTTTCAACACTGCTCTATAAAGAGAAAAGTTCCACTCTGTGAGTTGAATGTACACATCACAAAGTAGTTTCTGAGATTGCTTCTGTCTAGGTTTTAGGTGAAGTTATTTCCTTTTCTACTGTGGGCTTCAATGCGCTCTAAATATACACATGCAAATACTACAAAAAGAGTGTTTCAAAACTGCTCTATCAAAAGAAAAGTTTTACTCTGTGAGTTGAACGCACACATCGCAAAGCAGATTCTGAGAATTATTCTGTCTAGTTTTCATAGGAAGATGTTTCTTTTTCTGCCATAGGATCAATGCGCTATAAATATCCCCTTGGAAATCCTACAAAAACAGTGTTTCAAAACTGCTCTGTGAAAAGGGAGGTTTCACTCTTTGAATTGAATGCACACATCACAAAGGAGTTTCTGAAAATTCTTCAATCTAGAGTTACATGAAGAAATCCCGTTTCCAAAGAAGGCCTCAAATAGGTCCAAATATCCACTTGCAGCTACTACAAGAAGGGTGTTTCAGAAACGCTCTATCAAAAGAAACGATAAACTCTGTGAGTTGAACACACACGTCACTAAGCACTTTCTGAGAACGATTCTATCTACTTTTTACATGAAGATGTTTCCTTTTCTAGCAGAGACTTCAAAGTGCTCTAAATATCCACTTGGGAATTCTACAAAAACGGTGTCTCAAAACTGCTCTACCAAAGGGAATGTTCCATTCTGTGAGTCGAATGCACACATCCGAAGAAGTTACTGAGAATTCTTCTCTGTAGGTTTAGATGAAGAAATCCCGTTTCCAACGAAGGCCTCTAGGAGGTCCAATTATCCACTTGCAGATTCTACAGAAAGAGTGTTTCAAAACTGCTCTATCAAGAGAAATGGTCCACCGTGTGTGTGGAATGCAGCCATCACACATTAGTTTCTGAGATTGCTTCTGTCTTGGTTTTATGGGGAGATATTTCCATTTCTAGCATAGGCTTCAAGGCGCTCTAAATATCCGCTTGGAAATAGTACAAAAACAGTGTTTCAAAACTGCTGTATCCAAAGGAAGGTGCCACTCGCTGAGTTGAATGCACACATCACAAGGAAGTTTCTGAGAATTCTTCTGTCTAGATTCATACGAAGAAATCCCGTTTCCAACGAAGGCCTCAAAGAAGTCCAAATATCCCATTGCAAATTCTACAAAAGGAGTGTTTCCCAACTGCTCTATCAAGAGGAATGTTGCACTCTGTGACTTGCATGCAAACATCACACAGCAGTGTTTGAGAATTCTTCTGTCTAGAGTAACATGAAGAAATCCCGTTTCCAACGAAGGCCTCAAGGCGGTCCAATTATCCACTTGCAGATTCTACAGAAAGAGTGTTTCAAAACTGCTCTATCAAGAGAAATGTTCCACCGTGTGTGTGGAATGCAGCCATCACACAGTAGTTTCTGAGATTGCTTCCGTCTAGGTTTTATGGGAAGATATTTCCTTTTCTACCATAGGCCTCAAGGCGCTCTAATATCCGCTTGGAAATACTACAACCACAGCGTTTCAAACTGCTCTATCCAAAGGAAGGTTCCACTCTGTGACTTGAATGCACACAACCAAAGAAGTTTCGGAGAATTCTTCTGTCTGGATTTATACGAAGAAATCCCGTTTCCAACGAAGACCCAAAGGAGTTCCAAATATCCACTTGCAGCTCCTTCAGAAAGAGGGTTTCAAAACTGCTCTATCAAGAGAAATGTTCAACTCTGTGAGTTGAATGCAGACATCACAAAGTCGTTTCTGAGATGGGTTCTGTCTAGGTTTTATGGGAAGATATTTCCTTTTCTACCATACGCTTCAAGGCGTTCCAAATATCCGCTTGGAAATACTACAAAAACAGTGTTTCAAAACTGCTCTATCAAAAGGAAGGATCCACACTGTGAGTTGAATTCACACATCACAAAGAAGTCTCTGAGAATTCTTCTGTCTGGGTTTATAGGAAGAAATCCCGTTTCCAACGAAGGCCTCAAAGCGGTCCATATATCCACTTGCAGATTCTACAGAAACAATGTTTCCAAACTGCTCTATCAAGAGGAATGTTGCACTCGGTGAGTTGAATGCACACATCACAAAGTAGTTTCTGAGATTGCTTCTGTCTACCTTTTATGGAAAGATATTCCCTTTTCTACCATAGGCCTGAAAGCGCTCTCAATGTACCCTTGCAAATTCTACAAAAAGAGTGTTTCCAAATTGCTCTATCAAGAGAAATCTTTATCTCGGTGAGTTGAAAGCACACATCACAAAGAAGACTCTGAGAATTCTTCTGTCTGGGTTTATAAGATGAAAACCCGTTTCCAACCGAAGGCCTCAAGGAGGTCCAAATACAAACAAGCTGATTCTACAGAAAGAGTGTTTCCAAACTGCTCTATCAAGAGGAATGTTCCACTCGGTGAGTTGAATGCAGACATCACAAAGGAGTTTCTGAGATTGCTTCTGTCTAGCTTTTATGGAAAGATATTTCCTTTTCTACCATAGGCCTCAAAGCGCTCTTAGTATACACTTCCAAATTCTACAAAGAGAGTGTTACTAAACCGCTCTCTCAAAGGAAATGTTAAACTCTGTGAGTTGAACACAGACATCACAAAGCAGTTTCTGAGAACACTTCTGTCTGCCTTTTACGTGAAGACATTCCCTTTTCCAAAGAATGCCTCCAAGGGCTCAAAATATCCACTTGTAGACTTTACAAAGAGAGTGTTTCAAAACTTCTCTACCAAAAGAAAGGTTAAAGACGGTGAGTTCAACGCACACATCACAAAGTTGTTTCTGAGAATGATTCTATCTATGTTTTCCATGAAGATGTTTCCTTTTCTATCATAGGCTTCAAAGTGGTCTAAATATCCACTTGGAAATCCTACAAGAACAGGGTTTCAAAACTTCTCTATCAAACGGAAGACTCCACTCTGTGAGATGAACGCACACATCACAATGAGGTTTCTGAAAATTCTTCTGTCTAGGGTTATAGGAAGAAATCCCGTTTCCAACGAAGGCCTCAAAGAGGTCCAAATATCCACTTGCAGTTTCTACAAAAAGAGTGTTTCAACACTGCTCTATAAAGAGGAAAGTTCCACTCTGTGAGTTGAATGTACACATCACAAAGTAGTTTCTGAGATTGCTTCTGTCTAGGTTTTAGGTGAAGTTATTTCCTTTTCTACTGTGGGCTTCAATGCGCTCTAAATATACACATGCAAATACTACAAAAAGAGTGTTTCAAGACTGCTCTATCAAAGGAAAAGTTTTACACTGTGAGTTGAACGCACACATGGCAAAGCAGATTCTGAGAATTATTCTGTCTAGTTTTTATAGGAAGGTGTTTCTTTTTCTGCCGTAGGCTCAATGCGCTATAAATATCCCCTTGGAAATCCTACAAAAACAGTGTTTCAAAACTGCTCTGTGAAAAGGGAGGTTTCACTCTTTGAATTGAATGCACACATCACAAAGGAGTTTCTGAGAATTCTTCAATCTAGAGTTACATGAAGAAATCCCGTTTCCAAAGAAGGCCTCAAATAGGTCCAAATATCCACTTGCAGCTACTACAAGAAGGGTGTTTCAGAAACGCTCTATCAAAAGAAACGTTAAACTCTGTGAGTTGAACGCACACGTCACTAAGCACTTTCTGAGAACGATTCTATCTACTTTTTACATGAAGATGTTTCCTTTTCTAGCAGAGACTTCAAAGTGCTCTAAATATCCACTTGGGAATTCTACAAAAACGGTGTCTCAAAACTGCTCTATCAAACGGAATGTTCCATTCTGTGAGTCGAATGCACACATCCGAAGAAGTTACTGAGAATTCTTCTCTGTAGGTTTAGATGAAGAAATCCCATTTCCAACGAAGGCCTCTAGGAGGTCCAATTATCCACTTGCAGATTCTACAGAAAGAGTGTTTCAAAACTGCTCTATCAAGAGAAATGGTCCACCGTGTGTGTGGAATGCAGCCATCACACATTAGTTTCTGAGATTGCTTCTGTCTTGGTTTTATGGGGAGATATTTCCATTTCTAGCATAGGCTTCAAGGCGCTCTAAATATCCGCTTGGAAATACTACAAAAACAGTGTTTCAAAACTGCTGTATCCAAAGGAAGGTGCCACTCGCTGAGTTGAATGCACACATCACAAGGAAGTTTCTGAGAATTCTTCTGTCTAGATTCATACGAAGAAATCCCGTTTCCAACGAAGGCCTCAAAGAAGTCCAAATATCCCATTGCACATACTACAAAAGGAGTGTTTCCCAACTGCTCTATCAAGAGGAATGTTGCACTCTGTGACTTGAATGCAAACATCACATAGCAGTGTTTCAGAATTCTTCTGTCTAGAGTAACATGAAGAAATCCCGTTTCCAACGAAGGCCTCAAGGCGTTCCAATTATCCACTTGCAGATTCTACAGAAAGAGTGTTTCAAAACTGCTCTATCAAGAGGAATGTTCCACCGTGTGTGTGGAATGCAGCCATCACACAGTAGTTTCTGAGATTGCTTCCGTCTAGGTTTTATGGGAAGATATTTCCTTTTCTACCATAGGCCTCAAGGCGCTCTAATATCCGCTTGGAAATACTACAACCACAGCGTTTCAAACTGCTCTATCCAAAGGGAAGGTTCCACTCTGTGACTTGAATGCACACAACCAAAGAAGTTTCGGAGAATTCTTCTGTCTGGATTTATACGAAGAAATCCCGTTTCCAACGAAGACCCAAAGGAGTTCCAAATATCCACTTGCAGATCCTTCAGAAAGAGGGTTTCAAAACTGCTCTATCAAGAGAAATGTTCAACTCTGTGAGTTGAATGCAGACATCACAAAGTCGTTTCTGAGATGGGTTCTGTCTAGGTTTTATGGGAAGATATTTCCTTTTCTACCATACGCTTCAAGGCGTTCCAAATATCCGCTTGGAAATACTACAAAAACAGTGTTTCAAAACTGCTCTATCAAAAGGAAGGATCCACACTGTGAGTTGAATTCACACATCACAAAGAAATCTCTGAGAATTCTTCTCTCTGGGTTTATAGGAAGAAATCCCGTTTCCAACGAAGGCCTCAAAGCGGTCCATATATCCACTTGCAGATTCTACAGAAACAATGTTTCCAAACTGCTCTATCAAGAGGAATGTTGCACTCGGTGAGTTGAATGCACACATCACAAAGTAGTTTACTGAGATTGCTTCTGTCTACCTTTTATGGAAAGATATTCCCTTTTCTACCATAGGCCTGAAAGCGCTCTCAATGTACCCTTGCAAATTCTACAAAAAGAGTGTTTCCAAATTGCTCTATCAAGAGAAATCTTTATCTCGGTGAGTTGAAAGCACACATCACAAAGAAGACTCTGAGAATTCTTCTGTCTGGGTTTATAAGATGAAAACCCGTTTCCAACGAAGGCCTCAAGGAGGTCCAAATACAAACAAGCTGATTCTACAGAAAGAGTGTTTCCAAACTGCTCTATCAAGAGGAATGTTCCACTCGGTGAGTTGAATGCAGACATCACAAAGGAGTTTCTGAGATTGCTTCTGTCTAGCTTTTATGGAAAGATATTTCCTTTTCTACCATAGGCCTCAAAGCGCTCTTAGTATACACTTCCAAATTCTACAAAGAGAGTGTTACTAAACCGCTCTCTCAAAGGAAATGTTAAACTCTGTGAGTTGAACACAGACATCACAAAGCAGTTTCTGAGAACACTTCTGTCTGCCTTTTATGTGAAGACATTCCCTTTTCCAAAGAATGCCTCCAAGGGCTCAAAATATCCACTTGTAGACTTTACAAAGAGAGTGTTTCAAAACTTCTCTACCAAAAGAAAGGTTAAAGACGGTGAGTTCAACGCACACATCACAAAGTTGTTTCTGAGAATGATTCTATCTATGTTTTCCATGAAGATGTTTCCTTTTCTATCATAGGCTTCAAAGTGGTCTAAATATCCACTTGGAAATCCTACAAGAACAGGGTTTCAAAGCTTCTCTATCAAACGGAAGACTCCACTCTGTGAGATGAACGCACACATCACAATGAGGTTTCTGAAAATTCTTCTGTCTAGGGTTATAGGAAGAAATCCCGTTTCCAACGAAGGCCTCAAAGAGGTCCAAATATCCACTTGCAGTTTCTACAAAAAGAGTGTTTCAACACTGCTCTATAAAGAGAAAAGTTCCACTCTGTGAGTTGAATGTACACATCACAAAGTAGTTTCTGAGATTGCTTCTGTCTAGGTTTTAGGTGAAGTTATTTCCTTTTCTACTGTGTGCTTCAATGCGCTCTAAATATACACATGCAAATACTACAAAAAGAGTGTTTCAAAACTGCTCTATCAAAAGAAAAGTTTTACTCTGTGAGTTGAACGCACACATCGCAAAGCAGATTCTGAGAATTATTCTGTCTAGTTTTTATAGGAAGATGTTTCTTTTTCTGCCATAGGATCAATGCGCTATAAATATCCCCTTGGAAGTCCTACAAAAACAGTGTTTCAAAACTGCTCTGTGAAAAGGGAGGTTTCACTCTTTGAATTGAATGCACACATCACAAAGGAGTTTCTGAAAATTCTTCAATCTAGAGTTACATGAAGAAATCCCGTTTCCAAAGAAGGCCTCAAATAGGTCCAAATATCCACTTGCAGCTACTACAAGAAGGGTGTTTCAGAAACGCTCTATCAAAAGAAACGTTAAACTCTGTGAGTTGAACGCACACGTCACTAAGCACTTTCTGAGAACGATTCTATCTACTTTTTACATGAAGATGTTTCCTTTTCTAGCAGAGACTTCAAAGTGCTCTAAATATCCACTTGGGAATTCTACAAAAACGGTGTCTCAAAACTGCTCTATCAAACGGAATGTTCCATTCTGTGAGTCGAATGCACACATCCGAAGAAGTTACTGAGAATTCTTCTCTGTAGGTTTAGATGAAGAAATCCCGTTTCCAACGAAGGCCTCTAGGAGGTCCAATTATCCACTTGCAGATTCTACAGAAAGAGTGTTTCAAAACTGCTCTATCAAGAGAAATGGTCCACCGTGTGTGTGGAATGCAGCCATCACACATTAGTTTCTGAGATTGCTTCTGTCTTGGTTTTATGGGGAGATATTTCCATTTCTAGCATAGGCTTCAAGGCGCTCTAAATATCCGCTTGGAAATACTACAAAAACAGTGTTTCAAAACTGCTGTATCCAAAGGAAGGTGCCACTCGCTGAGTTGAATGCACACATCACAAGGAAGTTTCTGAGAATTCTTCTGTCTAGATTCATACGAAGAAATCCCGTTTCCAACGAAGGCCTCAAAGAAGTCCAAATATCCCATTGCAAATTCTACAAAAGGAGTGTTTCCCAACTGCTCTATCAAGAGGAATGTTGCACTCTGTGACTTGCATGCAAACATCACATAGCAGTGTTTGAGAATTCTTCTGTCTAGAGTAACATGAAGAAATCCCGTTTCCAACGAAGGCCTCAAGGCGGTCCAATTATCCACTTGCAGATTCTACAGAAAGAGTGTTTCAAAACTGCTCTATCAAGAGAAATGTTCCACCGTGTGTGTGGAATGCAGCCATCACACAGTAGTTTACTGAGATTGCTTCCGTCTAGGTTTTATGGGAAGATATTTCCTTTTCTACCATAGGCCTCAAGGCGCTCTAATATCCGCTTGGAAATACTACAACCACAGCGTTTCAAACTGCTCTATCCAAAGGAAGGTTCCACTCTGTGACTTGAATGCACACAACCAAAGAAGTTTCGGAGAATTCTTCTGTCTGGATTTATACGAAGAAATCCCGTTTCCAACGAAGACCCAAAGGAGTTCCAAATATCCACTTGCAGATCCTTCAGAAAGAGGGTTTCAAAACTGCTCTATCAAGAGAAATGTTCAACTCTGTGAGTTGAATGCAGACATCACAAAGTCGTTTCTGAGATGGGTTCTGTCTAGGTTTTATGGGAAGATATTTCCTTTTCTACCATACGCTTCAAGGCGTTCCAAATATCCGCTTGGAAATACTACAAAAACGGTGTTTCAAAACTGCTCTATCAAAAGGAAGGATCCACACTGTGAGTTGAATTCACACATCACAAAGAAATCTCTGAGAATTCTTCTGTCTGGGTTTATAGGAAGAAATCCCGTTTCCAACGAAGGCCTCAAAGCGGTCCATATATCCACTTGCAGATTCTACAGAAACAATGTTTCCAAACTGCTCGGTCAAGAGGAATGTTGCACTCGGTGAGTTGAATGCACACATCACAAAGTAGTTTCTGAGATTGCTTCTGTCTACCTTTTATGGAAAGATATTCCCTTTTCTACCATAGGCCTGAAAGCGCTCTCAATGTACCCTTGCAAATTCTACAAAAAGAGTGTTTCCAAATTGCTCTATCAAGAGAAATCTTTATCTCGGTGAGTTGAAAGCACACATCACAAAGAAGACTCTGAGAATTCTTCTGTCTGGGTTTATAAGATGAAAACCCGTTTCCAACGAAGGCCTCAAGGAGGTCCAAATACAAACAAGCTGATTCTACAGAAAGAGTGTTTCCAAACTGCTCTATCAAGAGGAATGTTCCACTCGGTGAGTTGAATGCAGACATCACAAAGGAGTTTCTGAGATTGCTTCTGTCTAGCTTTTATGGAAAGATATTTCCTTTTCTACCATAGGCCTCAAAGCGCTCTTAGTATACACTTCCAAATTCTACAAAGAGAGTGTTACTAAACCGCTCTCTCAAAGGAAATGTTAAACTCTGTGAGTTGAACACAGACATCACAAAGCAGTTTCTGAGAACACTTCTGTCTGCCTTTTATGTGAAGACATTCCCTTTTCCAAAGAATGCCTCCAAGGGCTCAAAATATCCACTTGTAGACTTTACAAAGAGAGTGTTTCAAAACTTCTCTACCAAAAGAAAGGTTAAAGACGGTGAGTTCAACGCACACATCACAAAGTTGTTTCTGAGAATGATTCTATCTATGTTTTCCATGAAGATGTTTCCTTTTCTATCATAGGCTTCAAAGTGGTCTAAATATCCACTTGGAAATCCTACAAGAACAGGGTTTCAAAACTTCTCTATCAAACGGAAGACTCCACTCTGTGAGATGAACGCACACATCACAATGAGGTTTCTGAAAATTCTTCTGTCTAGGGTTATAGGAAGAAATCCCGTTTCCAACGAAGGCCTCAAAGAGGTCCAAATATCCACTTGCAGTTTCTACAAAAAGAGTGTTTCAACACTGCTCTATAAAGAGGAAAGTTCCACTCTGTGAGTTGAATGTACACATCACAAAGTAGTTTCTGAGATTGCTTCTGTCTAGGTTTTAGGTGAAGTTATTTCCTTTTCTACTGTGGGCTTCAATGCGCTCTAAATATACACATGCAAATACTACAAAAAGAGTGTTTCAAAACTGCTCTATCAAAAGAAAAGTTTTACTCTGTGAGTTGAACGCACACATCGCAAAGCAGATTCTGAGAATTATTCTGTCTAGTTTTTATAGGAAGATGTTTCTTTTTCTGCCATAGGCTCAATGCGCTATAAATATCCCCTTGGAAATCCTACAAAAACAGTGTTTCAAAACTGCTCTGTGAAAAGGGAGGTTTCACTCTTTGAATTGAATGCACACATCACAAAGGAGTTTCTGAAAATTCTTCAAACTAGTAGTTACATGAAGAAATCCCGTTTCCAAAGAAGGCCTCAAATAGGTCCAAATATCCACTTGCAGCTACTACAAGAAGGGTGTTTCAGAAACGCTCTATCAAAAGAAACGTTAAACTCTGTGAGTTGAACGCACACGTCACTAAGCACTTTCTGAGAACGATTCTATCTACTTTTTACATGAAGATGTTTCCTTTTCTAGCAGAGACTTCAAAGTGCTCTAAATATCCACTTGGGAATTCTACCAAAACGGTGTCTCAAAACTGCTCTATCGAAGGGAATGTTCCACTCTGTGAGTCGAATGCACACATCCGAAGAAGTTACTGAGAATTCTTCTCTGTAGGTTTAGATGAAGAAATCCCGTTTCCAACGAAGGCCTCTAGGAGGTCCAATTATCCACTTGCAGATTCTACAGAAAGAGTGTTTCAAAACTGCTCTATCAAGAGAAATGGTCCACCGTGTGTGTGGAATGCAGCCATCACACATTAGTTTCTGAGATTGCTTCTGTCTTGGTTTTATGGGGAGATATTTCCATTTCTAGCATAGGCTTCAAGGCGCTCTAAATATCCGCTTGGAAATACTACAAAAACAGTGTTTCAAAACTGCTGTATCCAAAGGAAGGTGCCACTCGCTGAGTTGAATGCACACATCACAAGGAAGTTTCTGAGAATTCTTCTGTCTAGATTCATACGAAGAAATCCCGTTTCCAACGAAGGCCTCAAAGAAGTCCAAATATCCCATTGCAAATTCTACAAAAGGAGTGTTTCCCAACTGCTCTATCAAGAGGAATGTTGCACTCTGTGACTTGCATGCAAACATCACACAGCAGTGTTTGAGAATTCTTCTGTCTAGAGTAACATGAAGAAATCCCGTTTCCAACGAAGGCCTCAAGGCGGTCCAATTATCCACTTGCAGATTCTACAGAAAGAGTGTTTCAAAACTGCTCTATCAAGAGAAATGTTCCACCGTGTGTGTGGAATGCAGCCATCACACAGTAGTTTCTGAGATTGCTTCCGTCTAGGTTTTATGGGAAGATATTTCCTTTTCTACCATAGGCTTCAAGGCGCTCTAATATCCGCTTGGAAATACTACAACCACAGCGTTTCAAACTGCTCTATCCAAAGGAAGGTTCCACTCTGTGACTTGAATGCACACAACCAAAGAAGTTTCGGAGAATTCTTCTGTCTGGATTTATACGAAGAAATCCCGTTTCCAACGAAGACCCAAAGGAGTTCCAAATATCCACTTGCAGATCCTTCAGAAAGAGGGTTTCAAAACTGCTCTATCAAGAGAAATGTTCAACTCTGTGAGTTGAATGCAGACATCACAAAGTCGTTTCTGAGATGGGTTCTGTCTAGGTTTTATGGGAAGATATTTCCTTTTCTACCATACGCTTCAAGGCGTTCCAAATATCCGCTTGGAAATACTACAAAAACAGTGTTTCAAAACTGCTCTATCAAAAGGAAGGATCCACACTGTGAGTTGAATTCACACATCACAAAGAAATCTCTGAGAATTCTTCTGTCTGGGTTTATAGGAAGAAATCCCGTTTCCAACGAAGGCCTCAAAGCGGTCCATATATCCACTTGCAGATTCTACAGAAACAATGTTTCCAAACTGCTCTATCAAGAGGAATGTTGCACTCGGTGAGTTGAATGCACACATCACAAAGTAGTTTCTGAGATTGCTTCTGTCTACCTTTTATGGAAAGATATTCCCTTTTCTACCATAGGCCTGAAAGCGCTCTCAATGTACCCTTGCAAATTCTACAAAAAGAGTGTTTCCAAATTGCTCTATCAAGAGAAATCTTTATCTCGGTGAGTTGAAAGCACACATCACAAAGAAGACTCTGAGAATTCTTCTGTCTGGGTTTATAAGATGAAAACCCGTTTCCAACGAAGGCCTCAAGGAGATCCAAATACAAACAAGCTGATTCTACAGAAAGAGTGTTTCCAAACTGCTCTATCAAGAGGAATGTTCCACTCGGTGAGTTGAATGCAGACATCACAAAGGAGTTTCTGAGATTGCTTCTGTCTAGCTTTTATGGAAAGATATTTCCTTTTCTACCATAGGCCTCAAAGCGCTCTTAGTATACACTTCCAAATTCTACAAAGAGAGTGTTACTAAACCGCTCTCTCAAAGGAAATGTTAAACTCTGTGAGTTGAACACAGACATCACAAAGCAGTTTCTGAGAACACTTCTGTCTGCCTTTTATGTGAAGACATTCCCTTTTCCAAAGAATGCCTCCAAGGGCTCAAAATATCCACTTGTAGACTTTACAAAGAGAGTGTTTCAAAACTTCTCTACCAAAAGAAAGGTTAAAGACGGTGAGTTCAACGCACACATCACAA